>NC_000009.12:101250855-101402370 GCF_000001405.40 Homo sapiens | reverse complement strand
AGGTGCTATTATTATTTCCATTTTATAAAAAAATAAATTGAGGCAAAGAGAGATTAAATCACTATACTCACCAGGCTAAGTAAGTGGTGGAACAAGGATTTAAACCTAGGCAGTTAGGCTCCACATTACCTTTCTTAGGTGGAAATAAAGATTTGGGCCACGCACGGTGGCTCACGCCTGTAATCCCAGCACTTTGGGAGGCCAAGGTGGGCGGATCACCTGAGATCGGGAGTTCGAGACCAGCCCGGCCAACACAGTGAAACCCCTTCTCTACTAAAAATACAAAAATTAGCTGGGTGTGGCGGTGCATGCCTGTTTGTCTCGGCTACTCAGGAGGCTGAGGCAGGAGAATCTCTTGAACCCAGGAGGTGGAGGCTGCAGTGAGCTGAGATTGCACCACTGCACTCCAGCCTGGGCAACAGAATGAGGCTATGACTTGAAAAAAAAAATGGGACTTATTTTCACAGAGCGGTAGCTGATGACCTGAGTGTAGGTAAGGTCCCCCAAGGAAAGAGTACAGACTGAGGGGAAGTCTGAGAATGCAAGCCAATGGAGGGAAACAATAAAGAGTTTCACATATTCATAGAGAGGTAGACTAAAATAAGGTCCCAAAAGAGTCTACTGCATTTGACAATGACGTGTTACAGATCACTGTTAAACAATTTAAAGGGAGTATTAGAGGCAAGACAAAGGGGCTCAGACACAAGGGGAGGTAAAGAAATACAGAACACACATTAACTACTCTTACAAAATCTTGACTATGAAGAGAACAAGTAGTAAATCATAGGCAGCAGCAAGAGGGAGAGTCTGACTCATAGGAGGGATTTTTTCTTTTTTCCTCTCTTTTCTCCTGTTGAAGAGTTATGAACATACCAATCATCAGAATAAGGGTACCAAGGGAGAAGAAATAGTGACTGAAACTAAAAGGGAAAAAAGAATGACTGATTAGTTTCTGGAAAGGTGAGAAGATGAGAGCAGCTTTAAGTGTGTAGATAAGAGGCAGAGAAGTTGAGAGTTCATGCTTATTGGCCTTTATTTTCTCTGAGAAACAGAAGGTGAGCTTCACTACTTAATGATGGATAAGCTTTTGGAATAGTCACTAAAAAGAACAGGGCAGTGAGCATATCAGTGACAAAAAATATTGCTAAGATATAAAAACCCAGTGGAGAGTGGAAGAAAAAGGCCATACTTATATAAAGGATATCAATCTTTCTGGTTAGAGAATTTCTCCTGCTATGTTTAGCAATTTGGGTAGGAAAGAGAGAAAGGTGAATTTTATAACAAATACAGGATTTGAAGTTTGCAGAATGGGTAGAGAATAATGACAAGCTAGCAAGAGAGCTTGCTGGTGATTAGATGGGGATACAAGCCCAGAAAGGTTGGACACCTCAGTGAAAAAACAGAGACGTCAAGGGACAGGAAACATCGTTAATAATGAATGGGTTTAGGTGGAAAGGAGTAGGAAAGATAGAGAAGTTGTAGTAAGCTCCACAAGGGGAGAAAGCCTGTCTGTTTTGGTTACCCTCGTCTAGTCACAGTCAATAAACTTCCATTTCCGAATAACTGGTCAGAGAATAGGGTATTGGGATTTACGATTTGCCTGTTATGACAAAACTGGTATGATCAATGATGTAAGGTGCTGAGTAAAAGTGGAAAGCAGGGTCCCTGAAGATCCACTGAGGCTGAAGTATTAACTGGGTCATCCATGGCACGAGTTAAAATAGACTATGAAACATGTGACAAAGTTATGTGTGAAGGACCAAACTAAAAGTTGACAGATAGTGAAAAGGAATTGAGTGGAAAAAGCAAGACTGCTGAGACCTCAAAGAAGGAGAGATTTTGTTTGAAGGTGGAAAACTAATGCTTTGGGGACAGCATTTAAAAGCTGAGTGAACAATAACTTCCCCCTTCCAACATTGAGACAAAGGATGGGGAAGGAGGAGGATGTGGGAGAATAAGCAGCCCCCACTTGAAAAACTGCCAGAGAAACGTTGTCCTTGGGATAGTGCCAGGTTTCAGTTAAGGCCAGGAGGGAAGGAACATTATGTGAAGACGAACAGGGGTTCCAGAACGCAGAGTGAAAAGGGGTGGGAGGAAAGCTGTGGGAGGATGAGCCAGGACGGAAAGTACAGAACAATATGGGAATGAGATTATGAAGACAGGATGCCCGAAAGGCTTGCAGTTTGGTCACCTCAAGGAAGCTAGGGATGAGAGTTATGGAAACAATTAATGGCTAAAAGGTTTGAATCAGAACTTTGGAACAAAGCAGTTTTGGTACTGGTTTCCGTCCAAATGTTCTGTTAGTCTGATTTCTCTCTACCTTCTTAGATATTTTAATTAGAGAAACAGCAGATTCTTACCCAGTGAGACCAGGTTTCCATAATTCTCCATCATGACATCTTTATACAGGCTTCTCTGAGCTGGGTCCAGATAATCCCACTCCTCCTGGGTAAAAAACACAGCCACATCCTCAAATGTCAGCAACCCCTGAAATAGTATGATTTCTGTAGTCAGTTCCTGTTGTCTCAAGGACAATTCTACCACTAAAAGTGACAGAGGCAATCACTTATTGTGGCCAAGTAGGCTAGGAGGAACATGATAACTGAAAGTTCCATATGTTGCCCAATTCTGGGAACGAACTGTAACTGACAGACATCTCAGACTAGAAAGGACCTACGGATAAGGCTTTTCTGATTTATTATGCCCTGAGAGTTTAATTTTAGTAAACTGCCCCAAGGCCTCTCCAAGCTTCCCTCACCTCATTGCCTACTTCAATTTTCCATTTGCACTGGCTTGTGACTCTATTCAATTCAATTCCTTGAGGTTCTCTAAGCGTGTACCTTGGGGTCCAGGCACTGTGCCAGGAACAGAAGACACAAGGGAAGGTCAAAAATGGTGCTTCACCTGGAGAACTCACAAATGAGAGAGCTAGTCTGGAGCATTACTTATTTTCTCAGGCCGATTTATCAAGTCTCTCTAGAAAAAGAAAAAAAAAAAGGGAGCCAGTGGGCAGTTTGTTCGCGAACCGCACCCCAATGCACTAGTGGGGAGTTCCTTGCAAGGCGCTGGCCCTAAAGAGGCGGTCAGGAGGTTGGTGGGGGGCCTGGGGGAGAAAGCAGTGGTGCGGCCTAGCTGGGGTAGCGGCGAGACAACCGGGATCCCCGGGGGGGTGCTTACTTACCTTCGACTCCGGCGGGGGGCTCGGGGAAGCCATCTCCCAGGCAGAGAATAGGGGCAGGAATTGGGGGCGGCCTCACGGAAAGGAGCCTCTGGTGAGGCCTACCCGGCTGCTGGAAATTAGGCTCGACGAATACGAGGATCCCTGGCTGGGTCTGGCCAGTGCCTGCCTCGGCCCCCAGACGGTCACGACCCCAACAGCATATCAGACGCGATCCCTGGCTGTCCCCCAACCCCGAACCCCAACCCCTACTCCTGCCTGGTTACGCAGCCTTTCAGGCCTCGCTAGAGCCTCCTCCCCGCTGCCAGTTCCTCCTCCTTGCAGCCAAGTAACGCTATGACCGCCCGCCCCCGGACCAGAAGGCGTCACCCAGATTCTTCCCGAGGCCCCCTCAACTACAACTCCCGTCATGCTCGGAAAGAGCGCCGCGGTCCAGACGCCGCCAGCAACAGCTACTGGACTACATTTCCCAGCGTGCAAAGGGCGAGGGAGCCTACAGGAAAAAGAAAGCTCTTGCCACTGGGATTGTATCCGATTGGCTGGTCTGGGCGCGTCACTGCTGGCTGAAGGCTGCGCTCAGGCCCGTGGATCTCATCGAAGATGGCGGCGCGATCTGTGTCGGGCATTACCAGAAGAGTCTTCATGTGGACAGTCTCAGGGACACCATGTAGAGAATTTTGGTCTCGATTCAGGTAAAGCTTTATGGTGGACGGTGGGTCATGTTCAAGGAAAGTTAAGGAGGATTAGGGACGAATTCAAAATAGAGTGTTACGCCATCGTGGTCCCGCGCCTGATCAGAGCAAGGACAAGGAGGTCCGGTTAGGGTCCCGAGTTGAGAAGCACTCATTGAGTGGTGGGACCCAGTCTCTTCCACTCTCGGCCTTAGTTTTCTCATTTTATAACGGAAATACCACCCCCTTTCCTTTTCACTTCACTCATTCATTTATTTATTAAGCAAGCAGGATTAACCTCGTGTGCGAGACACCGAGTGTGTTGTCTGCAAACACATGAAAGCGCTTGGTAAACTAAACTCATTTGCCGGCTGTGTTTCTTCACAAGCAAGGTTCAGTAATGAAGTACTGCCTCCTCCTTTTGTTTGTTCATTCATTCAGTCATTCAACAGATTTCTTAGGGCCAGCATTACTCTAAGCGCCTAGGATACAGCAGGAAAAACAAAATCCATTCTCATCCTCGAGGTACTCCAACATATGAGGAAACAGGCCCACAGGAGGGAAGTGATTTTCCCAAAGTCACAAAGCAAGTTAATTGCAAAGCTGGATCTAGAACATATGTCTCCTAACTCCCCATCTACTGCTTTTTCTGCTGCACGGCTGCACCATGTGTAATTGTTTGAAGGTAAATCTAATTTGACTTAGATAGTGTTTAGGAAATCAAAACGTATGGTAGGAACCCTAGGGAGCAATGTATGCTCTCTTAGGTTTAAAACAAAAACCACTACAATTAGGAAAGATCTTTTTCATCAGTTCAGATATTAGCTTTCCCTCTTCTTTGGTCAATATTTGTTATTATCTCTCAAATCTCTTCCAAGTTTGTTTTATTCATTCACTCAACAAATATTTTTTAGGCTGTTTACTATATGCCAGGCTATATCTTAGGTGTTGTAAGAATACAGTGGTTACTAAAACAGACCAAATTTTTGTTCTCGTAGGGCATATGTTCTAATGGAGGAAGAAATGAACAAATGTGTAATGTAATTTCAGAAAGTGGTAAATTATGAAGAAAACTAGAGGAAATAGATTACTGAGAATGATGATTATATTTTCTTTACTATTTTAAAAATTTTATATATTTAAGATATACAACTTGATGTTGATTATTAGTCAAGATAATTATCATATTCATCTCTTCACATACTTTCTGTTTTGTTTTGTTTTAGAGAAAGGAGTTCTCACTATGTTGCACAGGCTGGTCTTGAACTCCTGGACTCAAGTAATTTTCCCACCTTGGCCTCCCAAATTGCTGGGATTCCAGGGGTGAGCCACCACACCTGGCCAGTTAGAATTTTTGTGTGTGTGGTGAAAACACTTAAGATTTACTCTCAGAAGATTTCAAGTATACAGTACAGTATTATTAATGATCGTCACCATGGTGTACATTAGATCTCTGGAACTTATTCATTCTACATAATTTAAATTTTACCTTTGTCCAACGTCTCTTCATTTCCGCCACCCCTGGTAGCCACCATCCTACTCTCTGTTTCTATGAATTTGACTTTTTTTTTGTTTGTGTTGGAGATGGAGTCTCACTCTGTCTCCAGGCTGGAGTGCAGTGGCGCTATCTTGGCTCACTGCAACCTCCGCCTCCCAGGTTCAAGCGATTCTCCTGCCTCAGCCTCCCGAGTAGCTGGGACTACAGGTGCCCGCCACCACGCCCGGCTAATTTTTTTATTTTTAGTAGAGACAGGGTTTCTCCATGTTGGCCAGAATGGTCTCGATCTCTTGACCTCATGATCCACCTACCTCAGCCTCCCAAAGTGCTGGGATTACAGGCGTGAGCCACTAAACCCGGCCTAATTTGACTTTTTAGATACTACATATAAGTGAGATCATGTGGTATTACTCTGTCTGGCTTATTTCTCTTAGCATAATATTTTCCAGGTTCATCCATGTGTTACAAATATCCTTTTTTAAGGCTGAATAAAATGCCATTTTTTGTGTGTGTATATATGCAAGCACATAATATATACATATATTCATACATAGGTACACATATACATATAGACACACTTATGGCATTTTATTCAGCCTTAAATATTGTGTATGTGTGTGTATACATGTATACATTTACATGTATACACACATGCTGCAATGAAGATGAGAGTGCAGATGTCTCTTTGAGATACTGCTTTCATTTCCTTTGGATATATACCGAGTAGTAAGATTGCTAGATCTTAGGATAGTTAGGATAGTTCTGTTTATAACTTTTGAGGAAGCTTAATACTGTTTTTTATAATGGCTATGCCAATATTCATTCCCACCAGCAGCATATAAGGGTGCCGTTTTTTCCATGTCCTCACCACACTTGTCTTTTTGGTAATGACCATCCTAATGGGTATGAGGTGATGTTTATTTGTAATTTTTTTTTAATGTTTATGGATGCATAATAGTTGTAGATATTTATGGGGTACATGTGATATTTTGATGCAAGCATACAATGTGTAATAGCCAAATCTGAATAGTTGACGTATCCATCACGTTATTTATCTCTTTGTTTTGGGAACATTCTAAATCTTCACTTCTAGCTATTTTGAAATACAAATAAATTACTACTAACTATAGTCACCCAATTGTGAAATCAAACACTAGAACTTACTCTTTTTAGCTGTAGTCCTCTTCTCTAACTGTATTACTCCTTTTAACTGTATTTCTAACCAATCTGTCTTCATACCTTACCTCCTCACTACCCTTCCCAGCCTCTGGTAACCATCAATTTATTACTACCTCCATGAGGTCTTTTTTTTTTTTTTGGTTCACACATAGGAGCGAGAACATGCGATATCTGTCTTTCTGCACCTGGCTTATTTCACTAAAGAGTGTCCTCCAGTTTCATCCATGTTACTGCAAATGACAGGATTTCATCCTTTTTTAATGGCTGAATAATATTCCATTGAGTATATGTACGGTTTTTTTAATATCCATTCATCCATTGGTAGAAACTTAGTTTGATTCCATATCTTGGCTATTGTGAATAGTGCTGTAATAAACATGGAGTACAGATATCTCTGTTAGACTGATTAACTTTCTTTTGGATGTATACCCAGCAGTGGGATTGCCAGATCATATGGTAATTTTATTTTTAATTTCTTTGGGAAATTTCCATGCTTTTCTCCATAGCAGTTGTACTAATTTACATTCCCACCAACAGTGTACTGGTATTCCCCTTTACATCCTTGCCAGCATTTGTTATTTTTTGTCTTTTAAATAATAGTCATTTTAACTCAGGTGAGATAATACCTCATTGTGTTATTGAGTTGCATTTCCCTGATGATTAGAGATCATTTTTTTTATATACCTGTTGGTCATTGTATATCTTCTTTGAGAAATATGTATTCAGATCTTTTGCTATTTTTAAATCAGGTTTTTTTTGTTGTTGTTACTGAGTTGTTTGGGTTCCTTGTATATTCTGGTTATTAATCCCTTGTTGGATAGTTTGCCAATTTTTCTCCTATTCTCTAGGTTGCCTGTTCACTTTGTTTATTGTTGCCTTTGCTATGCAGAAGCTTTTTAGTTTGATATAATCCCATTTGTTGATTTTTGTTCTTGTTGCCTGTGCTTTTGAGGTCTTAACTCAAAAGGTCATTGCCCAGACCAAAGTCCTGAAGCATCTCCCCAATGTTTTCTTCTACACAGAAGCTTTTTAGTTTAGTATAATCCCATTTGTCTATTTTTGTTCTTATTGCCTGTGCTTTTGAGGTCTTACTCAAGAAGTCGTTGCCCAGACCAATGTCCTGAAGCATCTCCCCAATGTTTTCTTCTAGTAGGGTTATAATTTTGTAACTGCCCAACGGGTTCACTTTGCCTAGACAGAGCTGATGTATCAAGGCAGAGGAATTGCAATGGAGAAAGAGTAATTCACGCAGAGTCAGCTGTGAGGATACTGGAGTTTTATTATTAGTCAAATCTGTCTCCCCGAAAACTTGGGAATCGGAGGTTTTAAAGATAATTTGGCAGGTAGGGGCCTAGGAAATGGGGAGTGTTGATTGGTTGGGTTAGAAATGAAATCATAGGGGGTCTAAGTGAGTTCTTGCCAACTTATGATCCTGGGTGGGATCACAGAACTGATTGAGCCAGATTACCGGCTTTGGTGGTGTAAGCTAATCCATTGAGTGCAGGGTCTGCAAAATATCTCAAGCACTGACCTTGAATTTTACAATAGCAGTGTTATCCCAGGAGCAATTTGGGGAGGATCAGACTCTTGCAGCCGGAGTCTGAATGACCCCTAACCATAATTTCTAATCTTGTAGCTAATTTGTTAGTCCTACAAAAGCAAACTGGTTCCCAGGCAAGAGGGAGGTCTTTTCAGAAAAAGGCTATTACCAATTTTGTTTCAGAGTCAAACTGTAAACTCATTTCCTTCCCAAGGTTAGTTTGGCCTATGCCCAGGAATGAACAAGGACAGCTTAAAGGTTAGAAGCAAGGTGGGGTCAGTTAGGTGTGGTCTTTTTTTTTTTTTTTTTTTTTTGCTTAGCATTACTTTGGCTATTCAAGGCATTTTGTGGTTTCATACGAATTTTAGGATTTTTTTTTCTATTTCTGTGAAGAACGTCATTGGTATTTTGATAAAGATTACATTGACAGTATATCGCTTTGGGTAGCATAAGCATTTCAACAACATCAATTCTCCCAATCCATGAACGTGGGATATCTCCATTTTTTGTGTGTCCCCTTCAATTTTTTTCATCAGTGTTTTATAGTTTTTATTGTAGAGACCTTTTACTTCTTTGTTGAAGTTTATTCCTAGATTTTTTGTGTGTGTGGCTATTGTTAATGGAATTGATTTCTTGATTTCTTTTTCAGATTGTTTACTATTGGCATATGGAAATGCTACTGATTTTGTATGTTGATTTTTGTATTCTGAAACTTTACTGAATTTATAATTTCTAAGAGTTTTTTTGGTGGATATTTAGGTTTTTCTAAATACAAGATCATATATCAACAAGATATATAAGATCATATATCTTACGTATGATACATAAGATCATATATCTTACGTATGATACGTAAGATCATATATCAAATAAGAACAATTTGACTTCTTTTCAATTTTGATGTACTTTATTTCTTTCTCTTGTCTAATTGCTGTGGCTAGGACTTCAAGTTCTGTGTTGAATACAAGTGATGAAAGTGAGCATCCTTGTCTTGTTCAAGATCTTAGAGGAAAGGCTTTGAGTTTTTTCCCATTCAATGATGCTAGCTTGTTTTGTGTCCTTGTTTGGTGGGTTTGTCATGCATGACCTTTATTATGTTGAGGTATGTTCCTTCAGTATCCAGTTTATTGAGAGTTTTTATCATGAAAGGATGTTGAAATGTATGAAATGCTTTTTCAGCATCTATTGAAATGATCACATGATTCTTGTTCTTGATTCTATCAATGTGATGTATCGAATTTGTTGATTTGCATATGTTGAACCATTCTTGCATTCTGGGATGAATCCCACTTGATCATGGTGAATGATCATTTTAATGTGTGGTTTAATTCTGCTTGCTAATGTTTTGTTGAGGGTTTTTGCATCTGTGCTCATCAGGAATATTGAACTGTAGTTTTCCTTTTTTATTTTGTCTTTGTCTGATTTTGGTATCGGGGTAATGCTGGTCTTGTAGAATGTGTTTTCCTTTTTTATTTTGTCTTTGTCTGGTTTTGGCCTCAGGGTAATGCTGGCCTTGTAGAGTGTGTTTGGAAGTATTCTCTCCTCTTCAGTGTTTTGGAATAGCTGTGGTAGAATTCGTATTGATTGGCATTAGTTCTTCTTTAAATGCTTGCTAGAGTTCAGTAGTGAAGCCATCAGGTCTTAAGCTTTTCTTTGATGGGAGACTTTTATTACAGCCTCTTTCTCATTATTTCTGTTTGGGTTTTCTTTTTCTTCGTGATTCAATCCTGGTAAGTTGTCCGTGTCTAGGAATTAATCCATCTCTTCTAGGTTTTCCAATCTATTGACTTATAGTTGCTTGTAACAATCTCTAATTAGCCTTTAAATTTTTGTGATATCAGTGTAATATCTCCTTTTTTGCCTCTGATTTTATGTATTTGTGTCTTCTCTGTTTTTTTTAGTCTAGCTAAAGGTTTGTTGATTTTAACTTTTCAATAAACCAACTTTTTAATTCATTGATCTTTTTATTGCTTTTTTAGTCTATTTTATTTATTTCTACACTGATCTTATTTCTTTCCTTCTACTAATTTTGGATTTGGTTTGTCTTTTTCTAATTTAAGGTACATCTTTAGATTGTTTATGTGAAGTTTTTCTTTTTTCATGTAGATGTTTATTACTATAAGCTTCCCTCTTACTACTGCTTCTGCTGTATCGCATAGGTTTTGATGTGTTGTGTTTTCATTTTTATTGCTTCAAGACGTTTTAAAATTTCCTTCCTAATTTCATCATTGACTCATTGGTCATTTGGGAGCATGTTATTTTTTATGTAGTTGTATAGTTTCTAGAGTTCTTGTTATTGATTTCTAGTTATATTTCATTGTCGTTAGAAAAGTCCTTGATATGATTTTGAGTTTTATGAATTTGTTAAAACTTGTTTTGTGTTCTATGATACAGTCTACCCTGGAGAATGTACCATGTACTCATGAGAAGAATATGTATTCTGCAGCAGTTGGGTGAAATGTTCTCTAAGTGTCAAGTCCATTTGGTGTAGAATGTAATTCCAGTCTTTCTTTGTTGATTTTGTCTGGATGATCTGTCTGTTATTGAGAGTGGGTGTTGAAATCCACAACCATTAATGTATTGTAGTCTATCTCTTCCTTTAGATCTATTAATATTTGTGTTATGTGTTTAGGTTCTCCAATATTGGTTGCATATATATTTATAATTGTTATATGCTTTTGCTGAATTGACCTCATTATGATTATGTAATGACCTTCTTTATCTCTTATAGTTTTTGACTTGAAATTTATTTTATCTGATATAAGTATAGCTACTCCTGTTCTTTTTGGTTTCTGTTTGCATGGAATATCTTTTTCCATCTCTTCACTTTCTGTGAAGTAGAATGTAAGTAAAATTAAAAGTCAGGTAGGATGTGATACACTCTGAGAGCAGTATAAACTGCTGAAGAGATCACATGAAATCACAATTATATTTGATTCTGGAAATTAGGTAAAGCATCTTGGAAGAGAACAATTTTATCCTAAGACTTACAGAATAAGCAAGATTTCCATAGGTGAAGATAAAAGACAGGCATTTTAAGATATGACTTGAGCCAACACATTGTGTCAGGAAAGTGGGAGTGTGCTTGGGACACAGGATATAGAGTATCACATGGAGTATATGTAGGTAATCAGTGAAAGGTAAGACCAGAAAGGTAGATTGGGGTGGGATCTTGGAGGATGGGGAATCCCAGACAATGATTTACCTTACTTCTTCACCCATTCTTAGGAATTCTTACAGTATGTAAAATATGTACTTAGTTTCTTTCTGTCTCTCCCAACTCAGTTCAACCATGAACGTTCTAAGGGCAGGGGCCTACCATATTCTTTCCTACTCTCAGTAGTCCCCAGTGGTAATCAGCATGCCATTGTTGATTTTGATTGGTAGGCAAGATTTGGTCTGGTGTTTGTCAACTTCATTAATGGATTTGTCTGTTTGTTTTTGATCATTCCAGAAAAGAGAAAGAGCCAGTGGTTGTTGAGACAGTAGAAGAGAAAAAGGAACCTATCCTAGTGTGTCCACCTTTACGAAGCCGAGCATACACACCACCTGAAGATCTCCAGAGTCGTTTGGAATCTTACGTTAAAGAAGTTTTTGGTTCATCTCTTCCTAGTAATTGGCAAGACATCTCCCTGGAAGATAGTCGTCTAAAGTTCAATCTTCTGGCTCATTTAGCTGATGACTTGGGTCATGTAGTCCCTAACTCCAGACTCCACCAGATGTGCAGGGTTAGAGATGTTCTTGATTTCTATAATGTCCCTATTCAAGATAGATCTAAATTTGATGAACTCAGTGCCAGTAATCTGCCCCCCAATTTGAAAATCACTTGGAGTTACTAAGCAATTCGGAAGAGAAACACATTGAAATCACTGTCTTTCCCTGAGCAAGGGGGCTGCTCATTAGATCTTTTGATACTTTACCATGTGAAATACTACCAGAACTGTTCTCTAAACCCACTTTTTCTGTAGAGGAATGTATCATCTTTTTTTTTCTCATATTACAAATGGACAAATAACGGACTTTCTATTTTCATATTTGCTGAAACCATTTTTTAAATGAAATTAGGTCATTATTTATGAAAAGTTTTGAGAGGGCACTGTCAACTTGGGTTTAAGACAGGAGGACATTGCAAGTTCACACCTTTCATAAGCATAAAGTAGTTGCAAGAAAGTATTTTCATCCTGTTAGGATTCATATCTAAGATAGAGTTATGCATTGCACATACACAAATAAACTTTTATTAGATAGATACCTATAAAAGAAACATAAAAGTATGTTGTGTATTACTGACAGTTCTAGATTAATTTCTTTTAGAATTAAAGTAGATTTGTTAAAGTGTATTGTGTGTTGTAAATTTTTTAAGTGAAATTTGCTTGCGCTCTGCCTTGCCATTTCTTTCCAGTAAGTATAATTTTGAAAAAATTAGAATATATGCCAAATATTGAGTGCTGTGACTCTTCCTCATAAGAGATGTGCCAGATTCTATGTCTAATTGCATATTCTCTTCAGAGGAGATGATGCTTATTTTAAACCTTTTTCTCTATAACTTTTAAAAAGTGGTGCTGAGTATTCACTAGAGTGGCAAGTCTTTGTGCTTTAATGCACTCAATTTGTGGAAATTACTTAAATAGCAGGTTATCAGATGGTTCTGAATGACAAAGGTGTTAAATTTGGGATTTTTTTTTCAAGCTTTAGATATGGCTGGAGAGTAATGAGACAGAAGGAATGTCTTATATTGTTCTGACTGCTGACAATTCCTAAAGAAAAGTGATAGAAGGGTTTTTAACAAAATAAGTTGCATTTATTCTCTTTCCCAGGGTTACTCCTTTGAAGAGGGCAAAATTCAGTTGGGAATATAAATTCTGGAATCTTCATGAAGAAAATTAGTTAACAGTATA
This sequence comes from Homo sapiens, assembly GCF_000001405.40. NCBI lineage: Eukaryota > Metazoa > Chordata > Mammalia > Primates > Hominidae > Homo > Homo sapiens. The sequence continues at coordinate 101,389,406 of NC_000009.12, read as the reverse complement.
GACATGCCCTACAAATATCATCCACAGGCACTTCATTCAAGAACTTCAGGTGTCAGAGTGCCTGGAGCTCTGGAGCTTAGACATTAGAGTTGATTCCTTGGGGATTGGTTCCAGGACACCTACTTGGATACCAAAGTCCACAGATGCCCAAGCCCCTTTTATAAAATGATGTAGTATTTGCATATTATGTATGCACATCCTCCCATATACTTTAAATCATCTTTAGATTACTTATACTGAATAGAATGTAAATAGTATTTACAATTGTGAATACAATGTATTTAGTTATGTAAATATGTAAATTTTAAAGTTATGTAAATATGTAGCTATGTAAATAGCTATAAAATAATATTTACAATTGTGAATAGTATGTAAATAGTTGTGAACATAACTATTGTGAATAATATGTTATATGTTATAGTTGTGAATGTAAATAGTATTCACAATTGTGAATACAATGTAAATAGCTTTCACAATTGTGAATACAATGTAAGTAGCTATGTAAATAGTGAATACAATGTAAATAGCTATGTAAATAGTTGTTATGCTGATTAGGGAATAATGAGAAGGAAAAAAAGTATACATATTCAGTACAGATGCAGTCATCTTTTTTTCCCCTCGAACATTTTTGATCCACAATTGGTTGAATCCACAGATGGGGAACACACAGTCTTGGTAAATTTAACCAACAAGGAGGGTAAACGCATCCCAACAGGGAAGGTAAACTGCACATCCATCAGTACCTCTAGAGGGCATCACTGGTTTATAGCTCAATACAGTGACTATATCAGAATAATGGCCTTTAGTTTTCCTGAAAGATTAAATTAGGCTTGCTGTTGTTGAATGAGATAATCAAACATATGATGTAATTTTAAAGGGTTTACATACAGAAGGCCTGCTGTATGTCCTGCTTCTGCTGTGTAAAAGATTCAGCATGGAATCATTGGAATTTTATGTACAGGATTTCATTATCTCATTTTCTATACAATTTTTCCTTCTGATCCAGAGACACGGAAAAACAAAGGGCAAGATGGAAATAAGGGATGAGAAGGTCTATGTGGAAAAACAGTTACAACTGGAGTGGTAACTGCAAAAACCAAGCAGCTTCATGTGATCGTTAGGACAGAAGAAATTTCTCCTTTGTAGCCTAGAGCAATATTCTCAAAATTTAATGCGCATGTTAATCATTTGGGGATCTTTTATTCATTTTTTCATGTGGGGATCTTTTAAAAATGCAAATTCTGATTTGGTAAGTCTGGAGTAGGTCCTGAGCTTCTGCATGCTTCAAAAGCTGATTATGTTTTGAGAACATGGATCTAGATGCTGGTATTGAGGTGGGAGACAAGTACTGCCACCTGAAACAACAGTCTTGGTAAATTTAGCCGACGAGGGTAAACACATCCTAACAGGGAAGGTAAACTGTACGTCCATCAGTACCACTAGAGGGCATCACTGGTTTATAGTTCAATACAGTGAATATATCAGAATAATGGCCTTTAGTTTTCCTGAAAGATTAAATTAGGCTTGCTAACTTGTTTAATGAGATAATCAGACATATGATGTAATTTTAAAGGGTTTACATTTTTAAAAATTTAATGATTGCTACATAAAAAGGGTATCAGTTAACTAATTTTACTTAGATGGAACTTCTGTAAGCTTAGTAGGTATGCTTAAATAAAGCCTGCTAATAAAATAGAGATTCAGACTCAATAGAATGGTTTTACATATGTAATATATGTTTTAAACTGCATAAAATAAACTCCTCCCTCCTTTCTTAACGTGTCATTTTTCTGATTACAAAAGTAGCACGTTCTTTTTAGAAAATTGGGAAGGAAAAAAGCAAAAACAAGAATGAAAAAACAAAACTATCTTGCCGCTCATAATTACTTAACATTTTGGTATATTTCCAAATGAAAACAATTATTTTCCTGTATTTTACAATTACTATGGCATCATGCTCCCCTTCACATTATAAGCATTTCCCCATGTTTTTAAAGACAAGAATAACAAATTTGATTAATAGCATATTATTGTATAATTAGATGTCATGCAATTATTTAACCAATATTCAACTGGATATTTAAATTCTTCCCAGTGTTTTGCTTTTCTGTTCTTTTTAATCCTGCTTTTCTAGTTCTTAGAGAATTGGTCTGCCATAGATCTTTCTACTCAGAAGTAGAAGATACTGTACTGTAAATTTCTTGACCCTAAACCTAAGAATGAACAATTTGGTCCTACTTCTTTGATTCATAATCCCATTAGCATGTATTCTGTGAATCCTAAAACACAAAGTGACAAGGACTTTGAAATTTTCACTAGGTTGTTACACAGTGCAAAAATCCTAAAGCTTTTACTTGAAAAGTTTCCAAATTTAAAAATAGTCTGTAACCTCTGATCCTATAGAATTCCAAAGTTAATCTCAGCTGTACAGTAACAGACTGGAGCAATCATCAAAGTTTTGCTTTCCATCATGAAATACCAAATTCAAACTATGTAACACTGATGTAACAATAATCATATACTGTCCATATTCAAATTTCACCAATGTCCTAGTAATGACCTTTATAGCAATTTCACTTCCAATCCAGGATCCAATCCTGGTTTATTGAGTTGGTCGTTAATTATTGTTTCTTGGTCTCATTTATTCTTCAATAAATTTTTTCAAGTAATTGATTTCATGTAAGTTACCAAATTAATTAGCATAAAATTGTTCATAATATTCCCTAATTAATGTCAGTTGGATCTATAATAATAGGCCCACTTTCATTTTGAGCTATTTGTTATTTGTGTCCTATCTTGTTTTTATTTAATCAATCTAGGTTGTGGCTTATCAATTTTTTAGCTTTGGCTTCATTTTATAATTTTAAAAATTATATTATTCTTCCTTTATCATTCAGTTTGAAATATTTCCTAATTTCCAGTGTGATTTCTTTTTGACTCATGACATAAATATGTTTGATTTTCAAATATTTGGGAGTTTTCTAGATGGCTTAATGTTATTAATTTCTAATTTCATTGAGATATATGATTTCAGTATTTTTACATGTATCGAGATTTTATGGCCTAACTTATGGCCTATCTTGTTGAACATGCCGTGTACATTTGAAGTTGTTGAGGCGATTAGGGTAAGGTCATTATAGTGTTCAAATCTATGCCTTTACTGATTTTTTTCAAGTTTTCTACCAATTGTTAAAAGGGATTTAAACACCTTCACTCATGGTTATGGAATTGTTATTTTTCCTATTTCTCCTTTTAATTCTGTCAATTTTTGCCACATAAATCTTGAAATCCATTATTCGGATTTATGGTTTTTATGATCTTGTCATATAGATATATGATATATATATATTTTATAATCTTAGTCATTACTACTTTAGGTTTCTTATGCTTATTGTTGCATAGTATGTGTTGCGGGAAGTCAGGGACCCCAAATGGAGGGACTGGCTGGAGCCGCGGCAGAGGAACATGAATTGTGAAGATTTCATTTTAATATGGACATGTATCAGTTCCCAAAACTAATACTTTTATAATTTCTTACACCTGTCTTTACTGCAGTCTCTGAACATAAACTGTGAAGATTTCATGGACATTTATCACTTCCCAAATAATACTCTTATAATTTCTTACGCCTGTCTTATTTTAATCTCTTAATCCTCATATCTTGGTAAGCTGAGGATGTACGTCACGTCAGGACCACTGTAATTGTATCTGACTGTACAAATTGATTGCAAAACGTGTGTTTGAACAATATGAAATCAGTGCACTTTGAAAAAGAAAGAATAACCGTGATTTTAGGGAACAAGGGAAGACAACCACAAGGTCTGACTGCCTGTGGGGTCAGGCAGAATAGAGCCATATTTTTCTTCTTGCAGAGAGCTTATAAACAGACGTGTAAGTAGGAGAGATATCGCTAAATTCTTCTTGTAGCAAGGAATATTAAATATTAAGACCCTAGGAAAAGAATTGCATTCCCAGGGGGAGGTCTATAAACGGCCACTCTGGGAGTGTCTGTCTTACGCAGTTGAGATAAGGACTGAAATACACCCTGGTCTCCTGCGGTACCCTCAGGCTTATTAGGATGGGGAAAAAATCCTGCTGTGGTAAATCTGAGGTCAGACCGGTTTTCTGCTCTTGAACCCTGTTTTCTGTTGTTTAAGATGTTTATCAAGACAATACATGCACAGTGGAACATAGACCCTCATCAGTAATTCTAAGTTTGCCCTTTGCCTTGTGATCTTTGCATTGCCCTTTGCCTTGTGATCTTTATTGGCCTCAGAAGCATGTGATCTTGTTCTCCCTTTTGCCCTTTGAAGCATGTGATCTTTGTGACCTACTCCCTGTTCATACACCCCCTCCCCTTTTGAAATCCTTAATAAAAACTTGCTGGTTTTGTGGCTCGGGGCCTCACGGTCCTGCTGATATGTGACATCACCCCCGGAGGCCCAGCTGTAAATTCCTCTCTTTGTACTCTTTCTCTTTATTTCTCAGACCAGCCGACACTTAGGGAAAATAGAACCTACGCTGAAATTTTGGGGGCAGGTTCTCTTGCTAGGTATGTATTTTTTTCATTTACTTACTTCCATTCTTTTAATGTAATTTTTCACCACAATCCAGACTCTCAGTAATCCTTTCCTTGCTTTTGTTTAAAGATTTACTCCAAAAATGTGGCCTATAGTTTTAGTTCAGCAAATACAAATTTGAAAGATTTATTTATGTGTATTTATGACTAGTTTCTAACGACATTATGTTTATAAGATTCATCCAGGTTATTGCATGTAGTTGTAATTCATTTATTTTTATTCTCTAGAAGAAGAATTGCTGGGTCAAAAGTTATTCATATTGTCACATTTATTAGACAATGTCCAATTGCTTTCCAAAGTGGTGGTACCAATTTATATTCCCTTAGTAGGGCTTGAGTCTGAGTGATTCACTTCCTAACCAACTCTTATTTTTGGAATTTTTAATTGTTGCCAACCTTTTAGGTATGAAATACACACCATGATTTTAATTTGCATTTCTTTGATAATGAGATTAAGCCTTTTCCCATAAGCTTATGATTGTGTCCTATTGTCTGTTAAGTACCTGTTTAAGACTTTTTCTCATATTCACCTGAGATTTTTAGACATTACTTTTTTAGGAATATTTTATGTATCCCAGTTAATAATTCTTAATCAGTTGTATCTGTAGCATAAGTCTTGCAAGGTAGTAGCTTAATAGTTTTCAAGTTTTTTATGGAGTATTTGGCTGATCAGACTTCCTTAAAATTAAGTTGAATTTAAGTTTCCTTTAAGTTTGCACTTTTTAAATGCTCTATCACCTCAAAAAAGATCCAGTACTTTTATGGAGATAGTCCTTTTATTGTCATGTAAAATCCTACTAACACTCCGTTCTGTAGCTATTTCAAGAAACCATGTGAATTAGTTGAGGAGGATTAGTAGGAGATTTGGTCCTCCCCAAATTCTGAAAGTGGGGCTTGAGTATTTTATTACTCATTACTGTGATCACATTTGTAGTTTTCATCTTTTGTTGTCTCAGGAAAGAAACCATTTGCAAATGCAGAGCCCTCCAGAAGTTACCTTGAGTATTTTATTGCAGAAGAAAAATATGCCCTAATGGTGCCAATAGGGGTCAAACAACTTCTATAAAGAAAATTATTAAAATAATGTGAGTAAAATGTAGTGGCAATCCCTAAGAGGGACGGATTTAGAGAGAACAGAAAATGAAGAGGGAAAATAGTGATACATTTATTGGGTTCAATAACTGTTAAAAATTAATAGGAAACTAGAGCAAGAGGTATGTGGTGACCTAGCACTTAAGTTAGCTCTGTTATACTTCCAAAGGCATATTTGAGGTTTTGGCCTTCTGGGCAAGTTTTGGTAGGGTGTCTGTCATTTTCCCTCTACTGCTGGAAAAGAAGGCTCAAGAGGAAGAATCCAGGTACTTTGTATTTTAATCAGGACTATTTATTTGGGCCGATTGGAAATAAGTTAAAATCTCTGCTCTTGAATTAAATCAGAGTTTATTTACCTCAGTGTTTGGAATTTTAGCAGTTCATGAGGACAAATAGTCTTTTTGTTCATTTCATAATCTCAGCTGTAGAGTTGCCCAGAGTGCTCAGATAAGTGTGTCTTTTCATTTTGATTTGCTTAGAAAGGATGTCAGTAGGGACTTGCTATTATGATGATATTGAGCTGAAATTTATATTTCTGAGGAAAATGAAAGGCTATCAGAAGTCATTTGTTAAAATTTCTTTATTCTGTCTTCCCCATCCCCATCAATATTTCTCCCTCTTTTAAAAGACTATTGCCTAGAATTTTATAGAATAAGCCCTCCTATTCTGGGAAACTGTACTGTGGTCCTATTTATATTTTGTTTGAAGGGTAATTTTCTTTTAATGTAAGACTAATGCCATGTTAGAATTAGATTCTGTGAAAATATTTCTTGAAGCTTTGAATATATGTTATACCTATTTATGCAATTCAGGAATGCTTTCTGGTAGTGAAATGTAATGTTAAAAAATACCAAAAAAAGCAAGTATAAGTTTGAGCTAAAGTTAATGACTTTCTAATTGACTTATTTCTGTTTGGGCACGCTGGTTGATGCATGTGATATTTGTATAGAAATAAATTGAATGGATAATATTGTTAGGGGTGGTGAATATCTGAGTTACTGGTGGCAAATCTGTATGGGTCTGCAGCAATCTCATTTCTTGCCTCCTCGAAAGAAAGAATTCAACTGAGGGGCATAAGGCAGTAAAAGAGACCAAGGCAAGTTTCAGAGCAGGAGCAGAAGTTTATTAAAAAGCTTTAGAACAGGAAAGAAAGGAAAACACACTTGGGAGAGACCCAAGCAGGCATCTTGGAGGTCAAGTGCCTCGTTCATCCTTGAACCTAGGATTTTATATGCTGGCCTACTTCTGGCATCTTGCACCCCTTTCCCTTCATCCTTCCCTTAAGGGTTATGGGGAGCCACCCACATGCATGGTGCCCTGCTTGTGCTTGGGATGTGGGCATGCACAGTGTGTTTACTGGAGTTTTATGCATGCTTATCTGAGGCTTTCTTTCAAATTCTGGTGGAATGCCCCTGGAAGGTCATACTCTGCCATTTTGACTCTTAATGTGCATGTTTGAGCTCATTCGCCCAGTTCCTGAAAGCTGCCAATTATCAATTTCAGGTGTTTTTATCAGTTGAGAAACTGCCTCTCCCTGGTGCTGGCTGTGACCAATTGTTATTTTAGAGAAGCAGAGTGACCATCACCTGATAGTCACCTGACATTCTGGTGGGTGGGGGCAACCCTCTCCTGCCCCACTCATGCATGACTAGCTACCTACTGTAACAATATGTAGAAGAAATACTATACCTTAAGCTTATTTAGAGTAGGAACTGCATCTTATCTGTCAGTGACTATGACATGTAGACTCTTGATAAATTCTTTTTGAAGTACTAATCAATTTGACTAAGAGTTGGAAATGTAGATTCCATTTCTGACTCTCATGTATTTCTGTATGATCTTAAGTACTCAATTTCTTGATTACAAGAAAACAAATGAAATACGGTACTTGGAAGCTATAGTATCACTTATTTTTAAGCTTCTCAGGAAACATATTCAATGTTTACTCACCACTGAATTATCATTCTCAGGACTTCTCTCTCTGTAGGCTCATTCTTGTCAGCATGTATTTATGTCTGTGTCTGTCTCATCTCTCATCTATATATACACATATATGCAACACAAACACTGTTGCATATATTTTCTTTTACTTTCAATCTGTCTTTTTTTGACAATGTGTTTCTGAAAAATAACCACTTGCTTTTTCAATTAGTTTGACAATCTGTCTTCTTTTTTATTTTTATGTATGTATTTATTTTAGAGATAGGATTTCAGCTCTTTCACCCAAGGTGGAGTCAGCTCTTTCACCCAGTGGCATGATCACAGCTCACTGCATCCTTGACCTCTTGGGCTCAAGCAATTCTTCTGCCTCAGCCTCTCAAGCAGCTGGGACTACAAGTTTGCCCCACCACACCCAGCTAATTTTTACTTTTTTTTTGTAGAGATGGGATCTCACTATGTTGCCCAGGCTGGTCTCAACCTCCTGGGATCAACCGGTCCTCATACCTCAGCCTCCCAAAGTGCTAGGATTACAGGCATGAGTCACCACGCCTGGCCTGTGTCTTCTAATTGGAGTGTTTGATCTGTTTGTATTTAACGTAATTATTGATATGTGTGGGTTTAAACTCCCATTTCCATTCATCCCATTTATTATTTGCTCCTTTATTCCTCCTTTCCTCTTGTGGCAGATTGCATTTCCCAAAAATGTATACACAAATACACATACAAATACACACACACAGCCAGGTGCGGTGGCTCATGCCTGTAATCCCAGCACTTTGGGAGGCTGAGGCAGGCGGATCATTTGAGGTCAGGAGTTTGAGACCAGCCTGACCAACATGCTGAAACCCCATCTCTACTAAAAAAACACAAAAAAATTGGCCAGGCATGGTGGTGGGTGCCTGTAATCCCAGCTACTCGGGAGGCTGAGGCAGGAGAATCACTTGAACTGGGAAGTGGAGATTGCAGTGAGCCAAGATTGCACCACTGCACTCCAGCCTGGGCGACAGAGCAAGACTCCATCTTAAAAAATAAAAAGCAAATACACATACACGTTTCATCCACTTAAAAAAATTTTACAATGTGATTGACATATCTCCTACTGTTAATAGGTATCAACATTTTCTCCACTTGAATTTTGATGGGAGCTTGTGGCTGCTATTAAATGGCAGAGATTATGCTATGTGATTTCCAGTGCTAGGATATAAAAAGGATACAGCTTCTACCTAGCTTTTTCTCTCTTGTGTTGCTTGCCCTTCCAACCCAGCCACCATGCTGTGAGTAAGCTTGCTCTGTGGTAAGTGAGCAGGTCTGTGCAAACCTACCCCCAAAGGCCAAGGGAGCTGAGACACTGAACAAAGAGAGTGACAAAACAGTTTCTCAGAGAGAAACATTTAATAGGGGCTTACAAACAGAAGCTGTGTCTCAGGCAGCTGTGAGACAAAGGATCCCCTCACTGTTACTCCCCAGACCCAGGGTTGATATACCATAGGGAAAGGATATACATGCTTCAGCAGGAATATGTAGGAATTTGCCTAAGGGTAGGATTTATGGTAGGTGCTCTTATACAAGAGATAGTAGATAAGGCAGAAATCTTAAAGGCATTCCTAGAAGTGGGATTAATCAGATGTCAACTGGCAGATTAGAATTCAAGATGGAGTTGCTATAACCTCCACACTCCAGCTTTCTAATTGGGCTTTTAGAATCTCACACACTGTCCTCTTCTTCAATGGTCTTTGAGTTTAGAGGAAGGGTGCTTGATATTGTACAGCTTTAGCAGCAGTGCACTGGCAATGGGAAACAGATCAGGCCCAGTGGGATTTCAGATGAGAAAAAATGCATAGGCTTTCTTGAATCATCTCTAGTCTTTGGAGTACCATGATTTTGATTTTCTTGGATGAAGTAAAACAATGAGAGATAAATAACATTAATATGCACACAAGGGACTACAATCAAAAACAGAATTTGTATGCCAGAACAACAACAACAAAAAAGAACCTATTCCATTAGGGAGCCAACTAAAAACAACATGAAGAAAATTAAAACCGGGTTTGTCTTTAGAGACTTCTTGTAGCCACAAAATAATTTAGGATTTAGTCCAAATTGTAGGCAAGTAATAAAAACAATGGTTAAGACTAGAATCTAATCATGGGTGTACAATAGTTTTCTTCTGAAACAATTTTTTTCTAAGTTTCTCTATTTCTACCAAGGATAAATTATTGTAGGACCAATTTATTTGCAAAATGAATTTTAGTCTCATTATGCTTGACCTGATTATTTGCATAAAGTGCAGCAAGAATAGTGATTGGCCATATAGGTTCTTGTAAAATTGGCTTTTTTGGAACTTTTAAATAAAGAATCTCAGATTTTTTTAAAGCCTTGAGGCTAACAAAGCCAGGGATTTGCCATCAGGCTGCAATAGCTGTATAAATTGGGTGAATTCTTCTAAAGATTTCCAAATAACTGGAGGTTCCTGGGCATGTCAAAATGCGACATTCGCCGGATGCGGTGGCTCACGCCTGTAATCCCAGCACTTTGGGAGGCTGAGGCAGGCGGATCACCTGAGGTCAGGAGTTGGAGACCTCCTAACAATGGTATTTCTGGTTTTAGATCCTTGAGGAATCACCATACTGTCTTCTACAATGGTTGAAGTAATTTACACTCCCACCAACAGTGTACAACTGTTCCTATTTCTCCACATCCTCTCCAGCATCTGTTGTTTCTTGACTTTTTAATGATCACCATTCTAACTGGCATGAGATATTATCTCATTGTGGTTTTGATTTGCATTTCTCTAATGACCAGTGATGATGAGCTTTTTTTAAATATGTTTGTTGGCTGCATAAATGTCTTCTTTTGAGAAGTGTCTGTTTATATCCTTCACCCACTTTTTGATGAGGCAGTTTGTTTTTTTCTTGTAAATTTGTTTAAGTTCCTTGTAGATTCTGGATGTTAGCCCTTTGTCAGATGGATAGACTGCAAACATTTTCTTTCATTCTGTAGGTTGCCTGTTCACTCTGATGATAGTTTCTTTTGCTGAACAGAAGCTCTTTAGTTTAATTAGATCCCATTTGTCAATTTTGGCTTCTGGTGAAATTGCTTTTGGTGTTTTAGTCATGAAATCTTTGCCTGTGCCTATGTCCTGAATGGTATTGCTTAGGTTTTCTTCTAGGGTTTTTATAGTTTTAGGTTTTACATTTAAGTCTTTAATCCATCTTGAGTTAATTTTTGTATAAGGTGTAAGGAAGAAGTCTAGTTTCCATTTTCTGCATATGGCTAGCCAGTTTTCCCAGGACCGTTTATTAAATAGGGAATCCTTTCTCTGTTGCTTGTTTTTGTCAGGTTTGTCAAAGATCAGATGGTTGTAGATGTGTAGTGTTATTTCTGAGGCCTCTGTTCTGTTCCATTGGTCTATATATCTGTTTTGGTACCAGTACCATGCTGTTTTGTTTACTGTAGCCTTGTAGTATAGTTTGAAGTCAGGTAGCATGATGCCTCCAGTGTTGTTCTTTTTGCTTAGGATTGTCTTGACTATATGGGCTCTTTTTTGGTTCCATATGAAATTTAAAGTAGTTTTTTCTAGTTCTGTGAATAGTATTGAATTTATAAATTACTTTGGGCAGTATGGCCATTTTCACAGTATCACTTCTTCCTATCAATGAGCATGGAATTATTTTTCCATTTGTTTATGTCCTCTCTTATTTCCTTGAGCAGTGGTTTGTAGTTCTCCTTGAAGAGGTCCTTCACTTCCCTTGTAAGCTGTATTCCTATGTATTTTATTCTCTTTGTAGCAGTTGTGATTGGGAGTTCACTCACGTTTTGGCTCTCTGCTTGTCTAATATTGGTATAGTAATGCTTGTGATTTTTGCACATTGATTTTGTATCCTGAGACTTTGCTGAAGTTGCTTATCAGCTTAAGGAGTTTTTAGACTGAGATGATGGGGTTCTCTAAATATAGAATCATGTCATCTGCAAACAGAGACAATTTGTCTTCCTCTCTTCCTATTTGAATACCCCTTATTTCTTTCTCTTGCCTTATTGCCCTGGCTAGAACTTCCAATACTTTGTTGAATAGGAGAGGTGAGAGAGGACATCCTTGTCTTGTGCTGGTTTTCAAAGGGAATGCTTCCAGGTTTGCCCATTCATTATGATATTGGCTATGGGTTTGTCATAAATAGCTCTTATTATTTTGAGATATGTTCCATCAATATCTAGTTTACTGAGAGTTTTTAGCATGAAGGGGTGTTGTAAACATTTTAGCTTTTATAATCCTATCAATCCTTATATTTTATGCTCTAGTCTCAGGAACTTCTGTACTCCACCCCCAGACCATTTTACCCTCTCTTGTGAAAAAACCTCTGGGTTCCCAGCAAGGAGTTGAGCCAAGGGATGTGGGCCTTTTTGTCAATCTTTATCTGATTAGTCTGTCTCCACATTGCCCCAGGAAATTATTAATCAGCTTTCTCATTGTAATTTTTGCCTTCTGATTTTTGAAACTTCCCCAATCTGGTGTAAATATAGAAAACTGATTTGGGGCTCTTTAATGTTGGGGAACCAGCAGGGACTCCCTTTGGTCCACCCAACATTTGATAGTGTTGTATTAAGACTCAAAAGGTAAACAAAAATTTTATTATCTCTCATTAATACTATCCAAAAATCTTGTTCAAAAGAGAAAACTAAATTTTGCTTTGTATTAGAGTATTATCAATAGTAAAGCTAATTTTAATAAAATTTTATGAATGATTTCATTGACTCTCACTCAGCTTTTGACCACACAAGAATTCCATAAAGCTTTTCTCTATCCAAAGGAATATAAATAAATCACTCTACCATAAAGACACATGCATATGAAAGTTCATTGCAGCACTATTCACAATAGCTTTTCACAGTTTCAAAGACATGGAATCTACCTAATGCCCATTAATGCCCTCTTACAAAATTGCTTTCTATGTTTCTCTTTCTCTAACTTTTAGATCTATTTATTTGTATCTATATCATTTCTTCCATTCATTTTGAAACAATCTTTAAAATACCACTAAACCGGGCCAGCATGCCTACATGCTCCTAGTCTTTGTGCACGAGTGGGAGGTGGCAGGCCTCCAACAATGCAGCTAGTCTTTGTGCGTGAGTGGGAGGTGGCAGGCCTCCAACTGTGGCCTTCTCTGCTGACTGTTCTAGTGAGGCATCCCCAGCCATGAACCATTTTGGTACCTGGTTGGTGGGAGGCAGGGTGACCCCATTGCTGCCACTGAAAGCCCGCAACAATGAAAATCTCAACAAAATTGGTATGTCTTTGGATGATATCATCAAACTAAATTGACAGGGAGGAAAGAAGCATAATTTTCTAACTGGAGCCTGGCAATTCAGGATGAGCATATGATGGAGAATTCAACAGAATTCTGGCTTTGGTAAGACTAGTCTGAGCACAGAGGATGAGTAATGCCTGGAAAGAGACAGCTTTATGGAGTTATCACTGGCCTTGCATCTAGGAAAGCAACTGGAATTCACAAAGAAATTAATCCTATGAATCATCCGTCTCTAGGTGACAGGAATATAGAACGATATTTTCTAGTGTTAAAAAGGAAGGCAAACCTTCTGGGACAAATATGAAGTGCAGAAAAAAACCAGTTGCAGTTCTCAAGGGACCTAACCAGCTAAACAGAAAAAAAAAACATTCCAGCCAATTTTACCAAGAATGGAAATAAATTAAGCCATCAGAAACACATGCGTCAGGCAACTTTTCATTTCAGAAGAGACGTGAAGGTTCAGACCCAGTTGAACACAACAGCAACTGCTGGATAACGTAGTCGGAAAGAGAACTCATCAATGGCAGATTTTTGTTGCAGGACTTCTTTTTAGTTCAGCTAAAGATGTGGTCCTTGTCCCACGGCCACAAAAATTTAGGCTCACAATTTGCGGAGTGAGAAAAATGGAACTTATTGGGCAAAAAGGAGAAAAGGGGGAACAGTTACTTTCGGCAAAGCCGGAATCGCAGCTAGTGCGCTCCCTGCCTCGCCATTTGAATCCAAGGTTCCACACAGGAAGAGGAGGGGCCAGGCTCCTCCCTACTGCAAATAGCAGAAACTTCGGTGGCACCCCAGTGTGCATTCCTCCCAGTTCGCCCGCGGTTGGAGTTTTTCCATGGACTCCTTCCCACTGGCTGTCTCACTTTCACCACAAACGGAGGAATTTTGACTCTATCTTTGGACAATCCTGGAGCAGTGCAATGCCTAACACAGAAATCAGGATTAATTCATACTGCTGTATCTTCATTTTTAACAAAATGGAAGCAATCTGACATAACGAAAGTTCCTAAAGTGGAACCCTACAATTGACATAAATTGTGCTGGAAAACAGACAGAGATGACTTTGAATGAGAAGTTTAGGATCCTGAAGGAACAAAGAGCCACTCTGACAAACAACAAAGGAGGAAGCTGCTTTGTAACTGTATTAGTCTGTTCACACACTGCTAATAAAGACATACCTGAGAGTAGGTAATTTATAAAGGAAAGAGGTTTAATGGACTCAAAGTTTCACATGGCTGGAGAGGCCTCACAATCATAGCAGAAGACAAAGGAGAAGCAAAGTCATGTCTTACATGGTGTCAGGCAAAAGAGCTTGTGCAGGGAACTCCCATGTATAAAACCATCAGTTCTTGTGAGACTTATTCACTACCATGAGAACAGTATGGGGGGGAACAACTCCCGTGATTCATTTATTTCCACCTGGCCCTGCCCTTAACATGTGGGGATTATTACAATTCAAGGTTAAGATTTGGTTGGGAACACAGCCAAACCATATCAGTAATCATGGGATAGATCCCATATCAAAGGGAATTTTGAGTGATGACGCTGAAAAATTGAATTGCTTGAAGAGTTCATCACAGAAATTCAAGAAACTATGCTTCAAAACATTCACAAGGCTAACTCATTTTTATTTCTGAAGGTTTTTTTTTTTAAATAAAGCAGGTATGATATAATGCCCTGAGACAATAACAGGGAATATACCTGTTCTTAAAGATTTCATTGTTGGCTCAGACAGAACAATTATCTATTTGACTTCTTTGGTTCCTCTTATAGCAGAAGGAAGATAGAAATATAGAAACTGATTATTTTTATGATAGTGGTATTTAGGATCTCATTGCCTTTGCCCATTTTTTTAGATTTTATCATGACAAATCTTGGCCTTCTGAAATATGGGTAGGTCCCTTTGTTGCTATCAGTTATCCTTTAATAGTGTTGATGCAGTAAATACAGTTGCCTTGTCTTCATGAGAGATATTTTTAAAAATATTGGAATTCTAGTTTGGAGTTTCAAGATTTATGAAAATATCTGAAACTTGGTTCACTTTTCAGGTACATTTTAGGCTAATACCCCAGAATTATGAATTTTTAGTGCTGAACTTAGAAATGTGGCTCTAGGCATTAGTCTCAGCTTAAAATGTTGGTGCTTAAAGACTGAAGATGCATATTTACAAAGTTAATCTGATAGGGCCTTGGAGGAGAGGGTCCAGTTTAAGAATCTGACAGTTTGTATTTAGTGAATGAAAGCATGAGAGCAAGTAGCAAGTTGAAAGACAGGTAACTGAGATGAGAAACTTCAAAACTTAGGTCATGTGTACTGTTTGGATTTAGTGTAGTCTTGAGTCTAGTGTCCACAAATAATTCTTCAAATGATATTTAGAAGAATTATAATTATTTAAATGGAGTCCTTCAGACATTTTGATAGTAAAATTAATAGGCGTAAAGTCCTAAACTTTATTTGAAAAGTTACTTCTCATTTGAAAAGTTAAAATTTATGAGCTTTGAAGCTTGCTAAATTAATTTATAGCTCCAAAACCAAAAATATACTTGTATATGTCACAAATAACAGAAGCAAAATATATAATAGAATTACATTGTACCTTGTTGTTTACCTTTCACTGATTTCTTGTATGGTATAAAGCTCAGTATTGATGGGGAGAAAAGGGCTTCGCCCCTACCCCCGAGACCTTTGATGGGTGGGAGGAGTTAGTCTGTTTGCCAAGATAGTGCTGAGTCCTCAGATGTTGAACACTATAAATTATAGTATAATGACAAATTCAGCAAAATGTTCCAGCTATAAGTTACAGGTTTAGTCATTTTGAAGCTTGACGTTTTAGTTTGCTATAATGTTAAAAACATCCAAGTAGGTGATAGTTTCTCTGGAGTATATTATTAGTGTTGACTTTTCCTATAAAACAAAACATCGTTATCGTTCAGCCTGCCTTGCATTTTATACTAGACTTCATTCTTGTCTCTCATGCTTCTTGGGTTACTTAATGGTTTATGCTAGCCCTGAAAGCTATCAGTAAAAATTTCATGCTTATATCAAAGAATTAAATCTGATCCTTTAATATCTGATATTTTGCCAGTACTTCTAGTGATAAGGGATTTTTGGAAGTCAGTCACAGAATTTAAAAATAAATTCTAGTCTTTCCTCAGCTATTTGATACTCATCCCTGTTCCTGCAAAAGACATGATCACATTATTTTTTATGGCTATGGGGACAAATAGGCCAAGTACTCATTGCCAAGCATTTTTGTAAGTATGCATGCTTATATTTGGTCCAGAAACAATGCATTCTAGATTGGTTTAGAATTACTGGTAGCTTATTTTACAGCAAGGAAAAGCAGCTGAGCAAGAATTTGCTGTCTTTAGAACAGTTTGTGAAATATGATATAAGGGTGTTTTCATTTCCTATTCCCTATTCTCTCTCTACTCTGCTCCTCTGACCCCATTCATTGAAAGGCAGCTGCCTTATTTTACATGAAGGTGTGCAATGCCTCAGATTTCTTTCAGCTTGCACCCCTGATCTCGGTCTGAGCACATGGTGAAGCTCTACGGAAAGTTGGCAGATAGAGAAAGACTTACTCTGTGGCTACAGTTTCTTGGAATTCTAGTTTATCAAACCAATCCACACATATCCATTAAAAGTACATTAAATTTTCTGTTGATTTCTCCTTATTTTTTTCTGTTGGGTTTATTTTTTGCTGCTTTATCATAATTGTAAATCAGCATGTAGGAGAGAAAACTTTCTGTTTCCTATGGAGCAGCTTGTCACTTGCTGGAGTTCAATTCATGTAGATTCTTTGCATTCTCAGTAATCTAATGAGTTACAAACAAAACAAAAATAAAGACCAAAAAAAAAAAAAAAACCAACAACCCCAAAACTAATTTTGTAGTTTATGCAGATAGTTGTGTTTGTTAGAGAGAGAACAGTGGTAACTCTTGTGGCTTTCTTCACACTAATCAAAAGGAGATGGGCATTTCTTAATTTTTAAAAGGTTACAAAAAGCTCAGCAAGACTTTTATGTACCTGAATGGCCTGTCAGCTTCTAGTTTTGCTTTCCTTTGGGTAAATCCTAAGTACAAAGCTATGGATGTTTTTTCTCTAAAGAGCAATACACACACCACCCCTTTTGTTCTTTCCAAAGATTTTATTCTCATTCTTTTGAGAAGATCCTTCTGGGTTTTTTTTTTTTTTAACTTTCATTTTAGGATCGGGGGTATATGTGCAGGATTGTTACATAGGTATATTGTGTGATGATGCTGAGGTGAACCTGTCACCCTGATATTAAGTACCCAATAGGTAGTTTTTCAGCCCTTGCCCCCATCCCTCTCTCTGTCCTCTTGCAGTCCCCAGTGTCTTCTGTTCCCAATGTCCGTGTGTACCCAATGTTTAGCTCCCACTTATAATTGAGAACATGAGGTATTTGGTTATCTGTTTCTTCATTAGTTCACTTAGGGAAATGGCCTTTAGCTGCATCCATGTTGCTGCAAAGGACATGGTTTCATTTTTTCATGGCTGTATAGTATTCCTATTCCATGATCCCTCTATTTTTTTATGTTCTGTTGCAGGTAAACTCTTGGATGCAAGGCATTCTGTTTCCAGGACTTGAGGAAGGGATTAGCGTGAAGTCAAATGTCTCATATATATATAAACGTTCAATAAATAACCATATTTTCAAACCCACATCTTATTTTTATCCTCCATTGTACCTGATTTCTTTTAAAGGTTCTGTATAACAGATTGTGTTATCTTCCTAGATGTATTGATACCATTCATGCATATTTTGGCTGCTGCTTCTTTAACAGTGGTTCATTATTGTTATAAAATTTGTCAGCTTGCTTACTGTCTTCTGGAAATTCATTGAAAGCTCTCAGGTGTCTTGTACTAGAAGACTATATCAGGAAGTTTCTAAAGAACTAGAGGGTTAGAACTGACTCCTAAGTGGTCTGACTGCTGATTCAATTCACCTTTCATCAACCCTTATCTCTACTTTATTTTACTGCTCCTCTTTCTTTCTTTTTTGAGGTTTTGAGGTTTTGCTGAAGATATTCCTGAAGAATCATCCCAGGTGCCACACTAAAAAAATGATCCAGTTGACAGCTACCCCTGTGAGTGCACTTGTTGATGAGCCAGTGCATATCCGAGCTACAGGCCTGATTCCCTTTCAGATGGTGAGTTTTCAGGCATCACTGGAAGATGAAAACGGAGACATGTTTTATTCTCAAGCCCACTATAGGGCCAATGAATTCGGTGAGGTGGACCTGAATCATGCTTCTTCACTTGGAGGGGATTATATGGGAGTCCACCCCATGGGTCTCTTCTGGTCTCTGAAACCTGAAAAGCTATTAACAAGACTGTTGAAAAGAGATGTGATGAATAGGCCTTTCCAGGTCCAAGTAAAACTTTATGACTTAGAGTTAATAGTGAACAATAAAGTTGCCAGTGCTCCAAAGGCCAGCCTGACTTTGGAGAGGTGGTATGTGGCACCTGGTGTCACACGAATTAAGGTTCGAGAAGGCCGCCTTCGAGGAGCTCTCTTTCTCCCTCCAGGTGAGTAGAATTACTCTGCTTATTGTTATTCTTGTTTTTCCACTTTAAATACATTATCCGTCTAGAAATTTAGCTTGAATAGCTTGTAGAATTACTCTGGTTATTGTTATTATTGTTTTTCCACCTTAAATGCATTATCCCTCCAGAAATTTAACTTGAATATGGATAATACCTAGAGCACTGCTTCCTGCCTTACAATCAATGTTAACCTTGGGTCTGAACAAGAATGTGGTAATATTCTACTCCAGCTCAAGTTTCATCTCAACAATTCTGAAGCTTGTCTAAGAATGTGACTACATATAGTTTATGTAGTCCCTACATTATGGGCTTTACATAGCTTTGGATTTATGCTAAATTTTTCTGCACTGAAGCCAAGATGGGAGGATTAATAGAGGCCAACAGTTCAAGACCAGCCTGGGCAACATAGCCAAACTCTTTCTCTATAAATACTAAAAAATTAGCTGGGTGTGGTAGCAGGCACCTGTAGTCCCAGCTACTCAGCAGGGGCTGAGGAGGAAAGATCTCTTGAGCCTCGGAGATTGAGGCTGCAGTGAGCCATGTTCCTGATACTGCACTCCAGCCTGGGTGACAAAGCAAAAAAAAAAAAAAAAAAAAAAAGGATAATGCATGCAAAATGCTTATCATAGAACCTGGCAATACTAAGCACTCAAAGATGAACAAATGTTAGACAAAACTTTCTATGATCTGACTTCTGCATACTTCTTCAGCCTTATCTTATAGCTCTAATCTTATAGCTATATGAAGACCCTCATCTTGATGTGATGGAAACCATATCCCAGATCCTTGTACAGGCTCTGTCAGGTTGAGTTTCAGTTTAGGCATGGGTTATTACCTTGTTGCCACAACAAGCTGGAGATAAGATGGACTGAAAGATTGCAGCAAATATAGAGGATGCAAGAAACTTTGTAACCTCTAGCTTCATAAATATTACATATTTATAGACTATTCCATGAATCTAATAATATAGCATGCTTCCTAATGGCTATAAAACTTATCAGAACGCTCATAGTTTCCCACAGAAATCTCCAAATACCAATAAATAAGTGGTTTAAACATGTTTTGGTACATTTCTCAGAGTTTATTGTGGGGCCAAATAAAGCAAAGTTAATTTCTCAGAAGAAAAAAAAGCAATAAAAGCTTTCCTTTCCAAATTCACCATAACCCATGTACTTGTTCGGATAAATTTGAGTTTTTAAAATACCCAGTAAATAGCATATAGACCACTTTATTATGTATAGGGACCAAGAATTAAATGGCACAAATTGCTGTGCCTCTATTATCCCACCCCAGTTAAAAATCTGCTTATTGGTACAGGCCTTCCATCTTGGGATGATGTGCTGGTTTAGGGTGTGCTGTTTGTGAATCCTCTTGAACACTGCATGTGCTGGGTCTCCCGCTTCAAGTGTGTTTTCTATCGGGGGAACAAAAGAGAGCTGAGTTGTGTGAGGTTATAAGGAGGTTGAGTCAGATCACAAATATTTCATGACTGTAACATTCTTCCAAGATAAAAGACTCAGTACTTTTAAGTGTTCCCCCATTCTTGTCAATCAGATGGTAAAAACATCCTTATTCATTTATGCAAATGATAATTTAAAACTAAGATATATTCAACTTCACTTTATTTATTATTTATTCATTGTACTTAATTATAGTAATTTTTAAAAATTCCCAATACTCCTTTAAATCAAGCCACTTCTTTCAAATATGGATGGGATCACTCTGTCTTAGTTAAAACCACTTATAAAAGAATAGAATATCCCTAATAAGTGCATCGTAAGTTTCTTTCAGTGTGTGGGCTCTGCTTTATTTTGGAAAAAAGCTGCCTATACAGAGTGACTGTAGAATGATACTCTGGCCGTCCCTACTTTTTACCACGTGTCAGCCTGCAAAAAATGAACATGGCGTTATTGAATAAAGGGGCTCATCATTTACATAAGCTTAGGTGTAAGGTTTCATCACTGTATAGTCAAATGAATGTAGCAGAGCAGTGTTAAGTCAGGATTTTAGCTAATACAATCATTTAAAAAATGTTTTTGAATCATGTATTTCTTTGAGAACCAAATTAAATCTGTGGAACCTCTCATAAGTAAAATTCACCTACAAATATATATATACCATATTTTGCATATATTGTAATTTCAGGATCTTCACAGATTTCCTAAAGCTTATTTGTATACTTCTTTATAGGTTAAGAAGCCCTGGCCTAATTTATATGCCTTTCTTTACAACAAGAGTATAGAAACTACTGTGAATTCCCATTTCCTCAGCTGCAGAGAGTAAATATGTCTCTGAATGTAGTTCCTAGTCAAACGTCTAGATATTGTGTTCCATTATATATTCAATGGACCTTAATTCTGCCCCAGGTAGAAGGCTGAAAGTGTTGGAATTGTATTTGAATATTTAAATGTTAATTTCAAAATTACATTTGAATGTAATTTTGCATTTCTGCTTTGTGTTCTCATGTTTTTATTATCTTTTATTTATTTATTTTATCTTTTATTATCTAATCATTTGTATTTCTGCTTTGTATTTTCAAGTTTTCTTATCTTTTCCACACCTTCTCTTCATGTACAATTCTGTTTTGTTATTTTTCAGGAGAGGGTCTCTTCCCAGGGGTAATTGATTTGTTTGGTGGTTTGGGTGGGCTGCTTGAATTTCGGGCCAGCCTCCTAGCCAGTCGTGGCTTCGCCTCCTTGGCCTTGGCTTACCATAACTATGAAGACCTGCCCCGCAAACCAGAAGTAACAGATTTGGAATATTTTGAGGAGGCTGCCAACTTTCTCCTGAGACATCCAAAGGTAATTTTTGTCTTTTCAGTAGGTTTGAGTCCCTGGGGTTTTTTTGTTTCTGTTTTTGTTTTTGTTAAAAGACAGGGTCTTGCTCCGTCACCCAGGCTGGAGTGCAGTGGCATGATCTGACACTTGGCCAGAAGCCAGTGCCTTTTGATACTACAATGTGCACAGGCTAACTTCCTATGCATTTTGTCTTTCTGAGCAAAAGACACTGGATGAGAAATAAATCATGTGAATTATAAATAACATGGGCATGAATAGAATTTCAAGTTCACTGAGAATCGTACTTGGAAGTTAAGAGAAGTCATAGGATATTATGGTTATTTTTTAAAAAGGGACTGGCTGGGTGTGATGGCTCAAGCCTGTAATTCTAGCACTCTGGGAGGCCAAGATGGGAGGATTAATAGAGGCCGACAGTTCAAGACCAGCCTGGGCAACATAGCCAAACTCTTTCTCTATAAATACTAAAAAAATAGCTGGGTGTGGTAGCAGGCACCTGTAGTCCCACTTACTTAGCAGGGGCTGAGGAGGAAAGATCGCTTGAGCCTGGGAGGTTGAGACTGCGGTGAGCCATGTTCCTGCCACTGTACTCCAGCCTGGGTGACAAAGCAAAAAAAAAAAAAGGATAATGCATGCAAAATGCTTATCATAGAACCTGGCAATACTAAGCACTCAAAGATGAACAAATGTTAGACAAAACTTTCTGTGATCTGACTTCTACATACTGCTTCAGCCTTATCTTATAGCTCTAATTATTAACTAGCTATCATTTTTCTCATCACTATACTTAACTGGACAGATAATCTGTATTTCTTTGAAGAATGAGTCTGAATTTTTAGTTACTCATGAGCCCTTAAACATAATACTATTAGTGCTTTCCAATCCATATGCCTTTTAAAATTTTAAAACATGTGCTTTGCTACTATGATATGGGATAGAGTTGGAGTTTATTAAACCTTGTTAATTGCCCAATATTTTTTCTTTCCTTTCCTTTTTTTTTTTTTTTTTTCTTTTTTTGACAGAGTCTCGCTCTGTCACCTAGGCTAGAGGCAGTGGCACAATCTCAGCTCACTGCAACCTCCACCTCCCAGGTTCAAGCAATTTTCCTACCTTAGCCTCCTGAGTAGCTGGGACTATAGGCGCGTGCCACCATACCTGGCTAATTTTTGTATTTTTAGTAGAGACGGGGTTTTGCCATATTGGGAAAGCTGGTCTCCAACTCCTGACCTCAAGTGATCCACCTGCCTTGGCCTCTATTTTTTTTTTTAATAAGAATTGAAATAAAATTAAATCTCCATACTACATGTTTTTTTATATAAGGATCACCAAAATATAATCAGGTTTGCAGAAATAAGATAAGCAACAATTACTGACAATCTACTGATGTAGTGAACATTTTAAATGGCTATTTTTGATGCATATAATGGAACTGCCCTCGAAATGTCAGTCAATATTATCATTGTGAGCCTTCTTCTTGGCTTAGATGAGAAGTGGAGAGGTTATGTGATTCTCTTTTTTCACGGTCTTTGCCTCGTTCCCCTTATATTTGCTGCATGACTTTTTCATCACTGTTCTTGCCAGTGTCACATAGATAGCTAGTTAATGATTAATCCAGGCCTGGAAACCAGATTTTTTTCCCCAGACTCTGAGAAATTCCATTAAACCTACTTCACATTGTCTCTTCTGCAGGATGATAGAACAGAGATCTTTCTTGCAGGTCTTATTTCTCTATGTGTTGATTTTAAGTAACTTCTAAGAACTCATAATTTCCTGATCCCAAATTTTGTGGTAGAAGTTGTAACAAGAGTTACTGTTTTGGCAAGGGACAGAAACATATTAAAAAGCCTGCACAGATATGAGTCATGCTTTTTTGTTCTTTCGTGTTATACTTGCTTTTACTTTATCTTTCATGGCCAAATCCACTCTGAGTTCCCATCTTTCCTTAACATAACTGTCGCTCTCTATCTTATATATTAAGATATAGGATTGGGAGGGGTGGGGGAGAAAGGTAGGTCAAAGGGTACAAAGTTTCTGTTAGACAAGAAGACTAAGATCTGGTGATCTGTTGCACAGCATGGTGACTATAGTTAATAATAATGTATTGTATATTTCCAAATTGCTAAAAGATTAGATTTTAAATGTTCTTACCCCAAAGAAATGGTAAGTTTGTGAGGTAATGGATATGTTAATCAGCCTGATTTGTTCATTCCACCATGTATATATGCACTGAAATATCACATTATGCACCATAAATATGTATAATTATTATTTGTCAATTAAAAATAAAAATTAGGCCAGGCACAGTGGCTCATGCCTGTAATCCCAGCACTTTGGGAGGCCGAGGTGGGCAGATCACCTGAGATCAGGGGTTCAAGACCAGCCTGGCCAACATGGAGAAAACCCAACTCTACTAAAAATACAAAAATTAGCCAGGTGTGGTGGCGGGCGCCTGTAGTTCCAGCTCGGGAGGCTGAGGCCAGAGAATTGCTTGAACCTGAGAGGCGGAGGTTGCAGTGAGCCGAGATTGAGCCACCACACTCCAGCCTGGGTGACAGAATGAGACTCAGTCTCAAAAAATAAAAATAAAGTAAAAAATAATAAATTAAAATTAAAATTAAAAAAATACAGAATTTCAGAGCTTGAAAGGAACTTTTAATTGATTCAAGCCACCCCTGTTAAATATACAGGGTAGGAAATAGAGAGTATATATGACTCATTCCATTTGTTTAGTTTTTTTTTTCCCTCTTACCCTAAGAATTTCTCACATTTTCATCAGCTTGGCATGAGTTGTATATTGATTCATGTGTTTCTAAGTAGTAGGGAAAATATCCCAAACATTGGTTTATAAAATGCCTTTAAAATATAGGAGATCAATTAAAATAAATACAGGAAGTCAACAAAGGTTTTAGAAAAGTGATGCTTCTCTCTAGGACTCTGTCCTTGCCAGGAGCCAGTGCTCAAGGAGAATCGGAGCTTTATTTTGTGACACAACAATTTTCTTTAACTCCTCCTTAGAATTCCCAACCAAATTGGTAACTGGGAGCAATACACTCAATACTCAAAAATAACTCATGAACATGTAGTTTCCTTTTCATTTTTACTGCTGTTACCTTAGTTCAGGACAGTATAATTTTCTGCTTTTATCAGTGCATTAATCTGTGGCTTTTCTGCCTCCATTTATGCAAGTCAGAGTTGTAAACACAACTATTTTACTCGCTTGCTTAAGAGTCTCCCTATTTATTATAGGATAAAGGCCAGGCTTCCTAGCATGTTAGACAAAGCTTCCTATGATCTGACTTCTGCATACTTATTCAGTCTTATCTTATGCCCATCCTTAAAATTTGTCCTAATTTTCCTCCTTAGTTAGGAAAAAAACTGAAGATGCTTAATATATCTTTCAAAGCTATGCACCATAAAGTTGGTGTTTTCTGTTTCAGACTTATTATGTTATTTCCCACCTTATACTCTAAATTAAAATAATGAAGAATGACTTGTGGTTCCTCTAAATGCCTTGCTCTTCATTGCCTCTCAGTTTTTGCATGAGTTTCTCCTATGGTGAATACATTAGGAATGTTTTGGCTACATTTCTCAGAAAAGTGGCTGATGGTGGCTTAAACATCAGCATAAGGTATCTTATTCTCTTACATAACAGGTTTGGTGATAGGTGGTTCAAACTTTGGCTTAGAAACTCAGTGTAGTTTTCAATCAAGGAGATTAGATTGACATTTCTGCAATTTTCTAGCCTTACTCTGAAGGTCACAAAATGACTCTGGCAGTTTCAGGAATTAAGTCAACAGGCCAGCATCCTAGTCTGAAAAGAATGATCATAAACATAGGCTTTCTCTTCATGATTCTGTGTCAGTTTGCACGGGGGGCAAAAAAAGTCCTTAGGTAGAATATGTTGGCCTTGGAAGAGAGGCTGAGAAAGGGAAATAGATTAGGATCCATCAGAATTTATCCCTTGGGGCTGGATATATTGCTATGCCACACAAAATCAAGGTCATATTAGCTTTGAAATTGTGGAGAATGGCTCCTGTGTAGGCAACTAACAGAGTCTGCTATACTCAGCATAGAATACCATTCCTTCTTGTTGACTTTCTTGTAATTTTTATTTCTTGAGACAGGGTCTCACTCTATTGCCCAGGCTGGGGTACAATAGCACAATCATAGCTCACTAAAGCCTTGAACTCCTGGGCTCAAGTGATCCTTCCACCTCAACCTGAGTAGCTGGGCCTACAGGCACACACCGCCATATTCAACTAATTTTTTAGTTTTGTAGAGATAGGGTCTCACTATGTTAACCAGGCTTGGCTTTCATTTTTTAATACGAAGACTCATTTGTTTTGTAGCCCATTTCCTCTGAGAGCCTTTCTTTGATCCTGCCTTTATTCCCTGCTAATCTGGGTTGGCAGTCTAGCCTACATACATTCTCATATCATAGAATTTATGATGCTCCAATCATCTGGTGTGTTTTTTTTTTTCCTCCTGTGTCTTCATCTGGCAGTGAGTTCCTTAATGACAAGAGATTGTTCCTTTTCTCTCTGTGACTCCCAGTGCTTGCCGTAGGATAGATAATTTAAGGATGCTTATTTGATGACTGACAATGAGGGAGGAAGCTGAGCCAAGCCTCCTTTATGACATTTTTCTCCACAATGAGAAAACTTTTGGAAAAAACAAAGCAAATCTAGAATCCTCTGTTCAACTCTATCCTACTGATCTCACTTTCTTTCTCAGTCTCTTCCTACAAGGTGCCCTTTCCTCTGAAGGGAGGAAAGTGTACCAATCATCTATACCCTGACCCACATTATTCACAATAGTCATGTGCCATTTCTTACTTTCCCTGCGACATTTGCATTTCTTTAGGGCATTTTAAACTCAGAACCTAACACAATACTGAATCCGTAATATATAGTCGGTAAAGCTTGACATATTTTTGGAGTATTTCTTTTGAATACATATTATATATTCCAGAACTCTATAGCTAGGGATGTGGGTAGGATTAATACTTGCTTTGTTCTCATTAGCCAGTGAAGTTCTTTGGTTGTTTGAGATTGTGGAGTTTTCCTAAATGAAGGCTAGAATAATTTCTCATTTCTATTATTTTTTTCAGGTCTTTGGCTCAGGCGTTGGGGTAGTCTCTGTATGTCAAGGAGTACAGATTGGACTATCTATGGCTATTTACCTAAAGCAAGTCACAGCCACGGTACTTATTAATGGGACCAACTTTCCTTTTGGCATTCCACAGGTATATCATGGTCAGATCCATCAGCCCCTTCCCCATTCTGCACAATTAATATCCACCAATGCCTTGGGGTTACTAGAGCTCTATCGCACTTTTGAGACAACTCAAGTTGGGGCCAGTCAATATTTGTTTCCTATTGAAGAGGCCCAGGGGCAATTCCTCTTCATTGTAGGAGAAGGTGATAAGACTATCAACAGCAAAGCACACGCTGAACAAGCCATAGGACAGCTGAAGAGACATGGGAAGAACAACTGGACCCTGCTATCTTACCCTGGGGCAGGCCACCTGATAGAACCTCCCTATTCTCCTCTGTGCTGTGCCTCAACGACCCACGATTTGAGGTTACACTGGGGAGGAGAGGTGATCCCACACGCAGCTGCACAGGAACATGCTTGGAAGGAGATCCAGAGATTTCTCAGGAAGCACCTCATTCCAGATGTGACCAGTCAACTCTAAGAAGACTAGATATTCCTAGAAAATAAAGAAGCAAATCTCTTTACCGGGACCTTCTCTCAATTTTCATGGCGGAATGTCTCCCCCAGCTGCCACACACACATTTTGTATTAATTTTAATGATTAAAAAGAGCATAGGGTAAAAACCTGATATTTCACTTATACTGCATAACAAGCTAACCAAACTGGACATGGTGAATAAATCATAAAACAAATCATTTTACTTATTATTTACATGACTTTTCTTTCCATCAGGTCTTCTAAATAGGACTGAGGTATAGTACACTGGCAAAAATAAGAAAAGGCAAACAAGAATAGCACCAAAGTAACAGATATAAAACCAAATACCATGTCAGAAAACACTATATAGTAAGAATTTATCAGATTAGAGCAGCAGGAGAAAATTAATACTAAATTATAATCATTTTAGTGATATTTTTCAACTTCACCACAGTAACTTTGCAACATCATTTTTCATTTGTGGGGTAGTAAAATTCATGTCAAAAAGGAAAGAAGGAATGGAGGAGGTCAGTTAGTTCATTGCAATAAATTACCTCTTCAGTTCTTAAAAACATGCCCATTGGCACATAACTGAGACATAATAACTAAGACTGGAAGAGCCTTGGTTTAAGTTATGAAGCAAATTAAAATGGAAAATACAAGAAAATAGAACCAATTAGGTTGAAAATGCCCCTTACTGAAAATCTGTATTAAAAATAAAATTAATAAAAGTAAAAAATAAAAATAGAAACACAACTCTACTAGTACAGGCTAGCCTGGGGAGTTTGATAAACTGAGTGATTGGGTCAACTATCACTGTACTTCCATAATGAATTTCTTCAGTCATGTTAGAGTAGCACATGAATGTGAGCTCTATAAGGACAGGTACTATATTTCCGTAAGACCCAATAGTTACTGTACATCCCATAAATAAAAAATACTTTAGTTTGCTAACCAACTGAATATATGAGGACTGCATGTAATTCAACCACATGGTTGTTTGCTGTACAGTCCTTTGCAAATATTAAAAAATTTTTTTTGCTATAAGGCTTTGATCATATAGTCCTCATAGCAACATAACTACCATCTAGCATGTACCACATTTTGCAAGACTTTAAGTTCAACATTCCAAACTGCCAATTTGTATTATGTCCAAATGCAGTATCCTTGAGGAATATAGTGGGTCAGTTAAATATCTAGAGACATACAAACATCTGCTAATTCATCTCATTGAGATGGATCATTCTGATCTCCATCATCCACCCACTTTTCATCAGCTTCTCCTACTTCATTCTCCTCATAGTCTTTATCATGAGGGATTCTGTATCCTGTCTCTCATCTACACTTGCTGGCCTTCCTGGTTGTGATTTATTGGAACAGTCTACACAAAAACCATAGGGTCAAGATCCATGTCTTACTCCAACACTGGCTGCTAACATGATCTTACATACCATACATTTGCATTTTTATCCTTCTTGTGCACCAAGAAATGTTTTCTTACATGTTTTCTCCAAGTGTAAAAAGTCACAGCTAAATGATCTCACTCCTGTATGAATAAGCAAGTGCTTTTTTAGTGTTTGTTTGCATTTGGCTGCATAGCTACAATGATGGCATTTTAACTTATTCATGATTAGAGATGATGATATGGTTTGGATATTTGTTGTGCCCAAATTTCATGCTGAAATGTAATCCCTAGTGTTGGAGGTGAGGCCTGGTGGGAGTTGTTTGGGTCATGGGGGTGGACCCTCATGGCTTGGTACTGTCCTCATGAGAGTATGATAGTGAGTGAGTTCTCAAGAGATATGACTGTTTAAAAGTGTGTGGCACCTCCTCCCCATCCTCACACTCTTTCTTGCCTCCTCTCTCGCCATGTGAGATGCCTCCTCGCTGTTCACCTGCTGCCATGATTGTAAACTTCCTGAGGCCTCCCCAGAAGCCAAGTAGATGCAAGCATTATGCTTCTGTAAAGCCTGCAGGACCATGATCCAATTAAATCTCTTTTCTTTATAAATTACCCAGTCTCAGGTATTTCTTTATAGCAACACAAGAACAACCTAACATGAATGATTCACCATTTTCCCAAGTTTCTTGTTTTGGCCAAGATTCTGGCAATAATCCATATTTGAAATCAAAGTATCTGGTATCAATTCATACTTGAAGTCACTTGAAGTGCCAGGCATCAAACCATACTTATTATAAAATCATGTGAAGTTCTAACATCACCTCCATCTTGATTAGACCCAGCTTCAGCCAATACATTCTTATCATCATCTGGCCCTGAAAGTAGAGCAACATCCAAATCTGGTTCTTCCAAGATTTCTACTCAAATATGAGTAGCGTATTTTCCTCTGAAAAGGCAATAGATGGCTGCATCATTGAGTAATCTTCCAAATTTGTTTCATTATTAGATGATGTATTATAAATAAATCTCCTTGTAGTTTGGTTTTTCCTCCGTGTTTCCCAGTTTCTTGAATTCCCTGGGAGCCCATATTATTCCAAGCAAACACTTGTTTGACCTTTGGATTTGTTTTCAGCCATTTCAGGAGATGCATTCTGGACCCAACTATTGTCACTCACTTGGTAGTTTTCTGTTTGGCCCTTGTTGACATTACAGCCATCATTTTCAGTTTTTATATTACTTGCCAAATTGGTAAGATTTAATGTTGCCCAAAAATTGGCAATTTTTTGATCCAATGATGAAGACAGACCATCTCTATTAACTGAGTTTTGTTTGTTTGTTTGTTTGTTTGTTTAGACAGTCTTGCTCTGTCACCCAGGCTGGAGGGTAGTGGCACAATTTTGGCTCACTGCAACTTTTGTTTCCCAGGTTCAAGCAATTCTCATGCCTCCCGAGTAGCTGGGATTACAGGCGTGAGCCACCATCCTTGGCTAATTCTGTATTTTCAGTAGAGACAGGGTTTTGCCATGTATGCCAGGCAGATCTTGAACTCCTGGCCTCAAGTGATCCATGTACATTGGCCTCCCAAAGTGCTGGGATTACAGGCATGAGCCACCATGCCCGGCCTGGTTTTCTATTATTATAGTCCACAACTGCAGACCCATGGAACTTCTGATTTAATGCTTATATTTAATCTTTAATAAATTTAGGCATCTGTAATAAAATTTCAGCAAGTTTGAAATTTCACTTGTTTGAAGATAGGCCACTGTCATTATTTTGGCTTGTGAGTACAAGGTTACCAGAATACAAGAAGTCCACAAGGACTGAAAAATTTTGACTGCTGCAGTATCTAAGTGGGTAGTATTATTTCGGTTAGGGCTTTCTTAGTTTTTAACACTATATAAAGTCTTAAAGAAATGGCTGCCAGCAACCAGGATGTTCTTAGGAGCCTTACAGATTTTCTGCTTACTACAGTGCTGACACCACAAAGTTTACCTTTCTTTTTTGTTCATTTTGTTGTCACAGAAGTTGACAGCAGTAACAGTTCTCATTTGGTCTGCTAGTAAACTCACAGTACCCCTCCTCTGATGGTATTCCTGACTAAAAGCGTACGTCATCTGACTAGCTATATTTTTTTAAAAAATTTTGGCTGTTTTGACTACTGCCGTCCACGTAAGATATGACTTGACTTGCTCCTCCTTGCCTTCCGCCGTAATTGTGAAGCCTCCCCAGCCACTTTGAACTAGATGGGGTTTCGCCACGTTACCCAGGCTGGTCTCAAACTCCTGGGCTCAAGCAATCTGCCAGCTTCAGCCTCCCGAAGTGTTGGGATTACAGGTATGAGCCATCGTGGCTGGCCAATATTTGAACTGAGTGTGGAGTGGCACAGGAAGAGTGGGGAAGAACTGGAGTGAGCCACTGGCTTCGGGTGGGATGCTCAGGTTTTAGTGAGGAATGGGGTCCATCTGCAGACTCCTCTTCAGACTGCCAGTCATGCTCAGTGGTCAGATCCTCTCTTAACAGGGGTTCCTCACATAGCAGTCAAGTGGGAAACTGGAGATTTGCTTGGAAAATATCCCCATCTGTGTCCCTGCTCTGAGCAGGGTAAAGTTTCTGGTAAAACAGCACACAGGGAAAAGGATCAATTCTTTCTGTTGACCGGCCTAGAGTGGTCCTGCTATGAGTCAAGGGGAAAGGTGTAAGAGTATTTACCAAGATATCTTTCTGAGAGCCCTCTGATATTAAGGTCAACTGACTCTTCTCTAAATGGCCTTTATTTAACTATTTCTCTCAGCCTATAGGACTTGCCCAATGATATGGTTTGGTTCTGTGTCCCCACCCAAATCTGCAGAGGTGGGGCCCTCATGGAGAACCTCTGCTAGGGCAATGTGGAAGGGAAATGTGGGGTCAAAGCCCCCACACAGAGTCCCTACTGGGGCACTGGCTAGTGGAGCTGTGAGAAGAGGGCCACCGTCCTCCACATCCCAGAGTGGTAGATCCACTGACAGCCTGCACTGTAGGCCTGGAAAAGACTCAGGACACTCCACAACTGCCTGTGAAAGCAGCCATGAGGGAGGCTGTACCCTGCAAAGCTATAGCGGCAGTGCTGCCCAAGACCATGGGAACCCACCTCTTGCATCAGTGTGACCCAGACGTAAGACATGGAGTCAAAGGAGATCATTTTGGAACTTTAAGATTTGACTACCCTGCTGGATTTTGGACTTTCATGGGGCCTGTAGCACCTTTGTTTTGGCCAATTTCTCCCATTTGGAATAGCTATATTTACCCAATGCCTGTACCCCCATTGTATCTAGGAAATAACTAGCTTGCTTTTGATTTTACAGGTTTGTAGGCAGAAGGGACTTGCCTTGTCTCAGATGAGACTTTGGACTTGGACTTTTGGGTTAATGCTGAAATGAGTTGAGCCTTTGGGGGATTGTTGGGAAGGCATGATTGGTTTTGAAATGTGAAGATAAAAGATTTGGGAGGGACCAGGGGCAGAATGATATAGTTTGGCTCTGTGTACTCAACCAAATATCATCTTGTAGCTCCCATAATTCCCATGTGTGTGGGAGGGACCTGATGGGAGATGATTGAATTATGGAGGCAGGTCTTTCCCATGCTGTTCTCATGATAGTAAATAAGTCTCACGAGGTCTGACCGTATTATAAGGGGGAGTTTCCCTGCACAAGCTCTCTTAGCCTGCCGCCATCCATGTAAGATGTGACTTGCTCCCCTTGCCTTCCATCATGATTGTGAGGCCTCCCAGCCATGTAGAATTGTGAGTCCAATTAAACCTTTTTCTTTTGTTAAGAAAAAAAAGTTTTAGAGATAGGGTCTTACTATGTTGCCCAGTCTGGTCTCAAACTCCTGGCTTCAAGCAATCCTTCTGCCTCAGCCTCCCAAGTAACTGGGATTAGAGACATAAGTCACTGTGCCTGGATTTTCATTTTAAATATTTATAATATTGTATGTAGGTTTTCATTTTTTGCTCTTGCTGTAGGTCCCACAAATGTGAGGGATAGGCTTGTACATCACATATGCCCATTACTATGATCTTAATATTAATGCCCCCAAAATTTATATGTTTAAAAACCTAATCCCCAAGGTGATGACATTAAGAGGTGGGGCCTTTTTGGAAGTGATTAAGCCATATGGGCAAAGCCCTCATTGGGATCAGTGCCCTTATGAAAGAGGTTGAAGACAATCTGCTGAGCTTGCATGTGTGGGGGTGGGGCCCTGTGGCTTCCCCCTGCACCTCCAGGCCACTGAGGTCTGCATCTGCCCTCTGGAGTTCAACCCTCACTTAGTGGCACAGTATGATACCCTAGGAGTGACCGGTGCTCCTGGAGGCAGCTGATACATACCTTGCACCTGACTGGGGTGCCTAAAGGGCCAGTTGAGGGATATGAGGAGGATGAACAGTTTCTGAGGAAGATGTACCATGTGCTGCTGGAGGTGGATGTGTTGGAGGGCACCCTGCAGTGCCCAGAGTCTAGACGTGTGTTCTGCCTCAGTCGCAGGGTTCCCAATATGCTGCTGAATGATGAGGAAACTGAGAGTTGATTGTGCCAAGTGCCAGTTTTCCTTCTCATGATCGTGTGAATTTTTGTTGATGTATATCCTGTTTCCTAATTCTGCTACATGTATCCCCAACCCTTGGCCCAATGGCACACCAAACACACCATATTCTTGAGCTCGATAGTATATGTTTTTTCTCATTAAAGTTTCAAACAAAAAAAAAGTAAATAAAAAAATAAAAATAAAAAAGAGGTTGAAGGGAGGTGCCTTGCCGCCTTCACCATGTGAGGATGCAGAAACAAGATGCTATCTATGGAGCCGAGAGTAGCCCTTACCAGAGACCATATCTGCTAGTTCCTTGATCTTAGACCTCCCAGGCTCCAGAACTGTGAGAAATACATTTCTATCGTAAATTACCCCGTCTAAGGCATTTCATTATAGCAGCAGAGACCAACAAAGACAGAAATAGGCACAGAGAGATAGGGTGTGTTAATAACAAAACCTAAAAATGGGAAAGCAGCTTTGGAACTGCATAATAAATAAAGGATGGAAAGAGTTTACAGGTCCACTGCCATGAAAGGAGCCTTAGGGGCAACTCAGGTGAGGGTTCAGAAGAAGGTGAGGTTGAAGAAGCTGTAGAAATAGCCTCCATCTTCTTAGAGATTACCTAAGTGGTTGTGATCAAAATGTTGATAATACAGAAATACAGATGGTAAAGGCCATTCTGATGAAGTCTCAGACAAAAATGAAGGACACGTTATTGGCAACTGAGGACTAGATGATCTCTGTTACAAAGGGGCAAAAGAACTTGGCCAAATCATGTTCATGTTCTAGAAGAAATCTCTAAGCAAAATGTTGAGGATTTTGACTACTTATAATAAAATGTGGAAGCAGAACTTAAAGATTTGGAAAATTCTCAGCCTGGTCATATTGTATAGAGTGGAAAGCTGTGTTCAAGAGAGAACACCAAGGGTGTGGCTAAGTAACCGTTTGATAAGGAGATTAGTACGGTGAGGCAGAAATCAGGTGCTATTTATCAAGATAATGAAAGAATGACACCAAAGGCCTTTCAGTGTTTATTTGTGCTGTCCTTCCTATCATAGGCACAGACTGCCAAGGCTGGGGGCAACATATCTGTATCAAAAGAGGAAGCTTGGAAACCGGTAGGACCTTGACGCCAGGTGGCCTCAAATCTCCACTTCCTGCATTCTGCTGCAATGCTCCTCACCTGCCCCAGGTATGGTTCACGCAGGCCCATGTGCAGTTTGGGCCACTCTCTGGAAGGCAATATAGTAAATCTTGGTGGTGTCTGTGCAGTGCTATCTCTACCAAAGTGCAGAGTGCACAAGTCATGAGGGCATGCCTGCCTCCACTTAGATTTCAAAGGATGCCCCAGAAAGCCTCAGAGCCCAGACAGAGAACTATCACAGGAGCAGGACCACCACAGACAGCCCCCACCCCAGTATGGCAATGCCCAGTGAAACCGTGGGAGCAGAGCCACCCCCAAGACCCCAGACTGGTAGAGCCACCAGTGTGCAATTCCAGCCTGGGAGAGCCATAGGCATGTGACTCCAATATGTGAGAAATGCTATATGGGTTTTGCCCAGCAAAGTCATGGCCAGGACTACCCCCCACCCCCCAAGTGTTTAGAAGGTAAAATGTCAAGTCGAAGATTATTCTTGAGCCTTAATATTTGCCCTGTTGGGTTTTACAGTTAGTCAGGATTTATTATCTTTTTCTTCCTTCCTACTTCTACCTTTTGGAAAGGAAATGTCTGCCCTGTGCCTATCCCACCATTGTATTTTCAAAGCATGTAACTTGTTTGATTTCAGAGGCTCACAGCTGAAGGGGAATTTGCCTCAGGATGAGTCACACCTTTGAGTCTCAGTCATATTTGATTTAAATGAGACTTTGGACCTCAGACTTTTGAATTGGTGCTGGAACAAGTTAAGGCCTGGGGAGCTACTGGGATGGAATGAATACATTCTGCATGTGAGAAGAACATACATTTCGGACGGCCAGAAGCAGAACTCTATGGTCTGAATTTTGGTGTTTCCCCCAATTTATATGTTGAAACCTAACCCCCAAAGTAATGGTATTAAGAAGTGGGACCTTTTGGGAAGTGATTAAATCACAGAGGCTCTGCTCTCGTGAATGGGATCAGCCTTAAAAAGGTTGAAGGCAGCGGTTTTGCTCCTTCTGCCATGTGAGGATGCAGCAACAAGGTGCCATCTGTGGAGCAGAGAGCAAACCCTCATCAGACACTAAACCGGCCAGTGCCTTGATCTTGAATTTCTCAGTATTCAGAACTGTGAGAAATAAATTTCTATTACTTATAAATTACTGAATCTATGTTATTTCCTTATAAATAAAGCAGCCAAGGACAGTTACGTGATCCTAGATCACCCATTGCCATAATGTTTTCAGGTGAGACTTACTGGCCTTCAACTCTCAGCTGCCTTCCAAGCCCATCACTATGAGAATATGGAAACTTCCAGAAACCTTTCACAGAACAGGAGAGCAAAAAGAGACTTGCGTGTGCTATCTTTGAATCTCTATTTGTCTAAACACACAATGTCCCATTTTACTGTGTTTTCCAGAACTCCAAACAGGAAATAGAACAAAAGGTTCCTCCGGGATTTTCAGTTTTTCATAATCCATTCCCACCTTTGGTCAAGGCCTAGACCTTTCTAGGCAGGGTTGCCTTCTTCCCTAGGACAATAAGTCCCAGGTCTTTGCCTTAATGTAATAAAGCTTCAGAAGAACAATAAAATGATTGCTGAGAATTGTAAATGCATTGAGAGATATTATTAAATATTATTCTTGCCTTACAAGTAATAGGTCAGGGAGTAGCCAGATATGGCAAAAATTAAAAAGATGCTACTATAGTGAATTCTTATAATTTTATATTGCCTTTATATGCATGTATACTCAAATGTATCCACTTTGAGTATAAGTTGAACTTTCTCATCCCAGAAGCAGGACTTAGTCACCCTTGACAACAATTTCTAGTTCTCTGTCTCTTTCAACTTCCTCACTGTGGCTGATCCAGATATCTGCTTATACAAATGCCTTTTTGTGACCACCTCCTTAGGGGACAGCTAGATACAACTTACTTGACTTGCCCACTGACCCCCACACCTCATACGAACTGTGCAGATATGCTCAGCAACCACCTCTCAGTTGCCTGTGACCTCTTGGAACTATTGCCTGCTTGTTCTAAACCCATCAATTAAAACTCCCCTCGGGAAACCTGCTTGGGTAACACCCTGAACCCCAATAAAGGCTTTGGACCAAAGGTCCCTCTCTCTCTCTTGCTCCCCACATGCTGGTTGAGTGCATATCCTGGAAAGCTCTCCCCTTCCCGTTGGTGCTCTTTCCCTCTGTTCTCTGATCTGTAAGTAATACGCTCTTCTGTTATTTCGTGTGTTTTGCTAAGTTGCCTCTTCTGTGTCTCACCTGACCAACACACCCAAATCTACCTTCTACCTTCTTTCTCCATCAGGGCTGTCCTAGAGAGGGGCTGTCTTGGTAGGAATAAACTGGACACAGGTCAGACAAGAGCCCCAAAGGCATCTCCCAGTATAAACAAGTTTTCTGTGAGAGGAACACCCTGTCGTGGGTTGGACACCCAGGCATTAGGCTGTCTGCTGATACAGAAGTGTCCCATGAAAGACACACTATAAACATTCATGCCCAAATCCCTGGAGCCCTGGCAGGGTAGGGCAAGATTTTTTACCCATGTTCCTGAGAGAGACCTCAAGACCAAATTAGAGGAAAATACAATAGCTACCTAACGAGTAACTTTTTTGAATATTGTTTAGAGCCAGCCTTCTCATTACATAGGTAAGTAACAGAGCCTTGAATTTTTTTTTTTTTTTGCAATTAATTTAATGGCAGGACTGGGATTAGAATTCGGGGATTTATCCCTATATTTTCTCCATTCCATTATATTGAGATTTTCTCCCATAGTCTATTAAACTCTGTTCTCTGGAAATTTGAAATAAATTTTGGTCATACACCGTCATTGTTTTTATCTTAGGACAGCTAGAAACACTTCAATTTCTATATTTACCCTTCTTATGGAGAACATTTTTTAGGTTCCATTAATGACTAGGAACATTCTTGGATCTATCACAAAAAGAGTCATAGTTTCCATTGATTGTGCTGTAGCTATGTGGAAACTTCATGGAATCCCTAAGTATACCTGGTGACTTTAAACCATCAGAATAGTCTTCATTGTGGCCAGGCATAGTGGCTCATGCCTGTAATCCCAGCACTTTGGGAGACCAAGGCGGGCGGATCACGAGGTCAGCAGATCGAGACCATCCTGGCCAACACGGTGAAACCACGTCTTTATTAAAAATACAAAAAATTAGCTGGGCATGGTAGCAGGTGCCTGTAGTCCCAGCTACTCAGGAGGCTGAGGCAGAAGAATGGTGTGAACCCCAGAGGCAGAGCTTGCCGTGAACTGAGGTGGCGCCACTGCACTCCAGCCTGGGTGACAGAGCGAGACTCCACCTCAAAAAAAAAAAAAAAAAAAAAAAAAAAAAAGAATAGGCTTCATTGCAAAATCATTTATTTTTGCTACCATTTCCCCTCTCCTTATCCATGACTTAAGCAATCAGATGTTCCTAAATTTTAACCTTTTTGTCAGTAATTCTAGATTTTTTAAAAAGATACTTTAAAAGATTATAATGGGCACAATAATATACTTCCAAGATTGCAATCTATAAAGTAAAATTTCCCTGATAAGAGATGTTACATGACACATGGTATAAATTAATTTGATACTAAAATTTATGTTAGGAAAAAGAAGACCTTTTTGCTAAGCATGGCAGGTAGTCAGGAGCAGTTCAGTGTGGTAGGTTATAACAAGAGTCCTGAAATACTTCCTGGGATTCAAAAATGAAAAATAATATTCTAGGATAACTGGAAGATTAATTTTAGTTGTGAATAATCATTGATAAGTGTTATTGAAGACCAATCTACATTGTGACCAAATGAGGGTAAAACATAGAGCTTACTTATGCCTTAGCCAGAAATCATTTTTTCCTTCACTATACAATTGAAATCTCTCATTTAAAGTAGTATTTTCATACTGACATATTTAAAACTAGCCAGTTATTTCCTCCATGAGCATGCTATTCATAACATTTCTTAGGTTTGTCAATCAGCCATTGGCAAATGAGGTAAGATAGGGACAATGTTTCATTATTTCATTCTAATTAAAACTGTTGGCTCTAAACCCCCTAGTCACAGCTACTGCATCCAAGTAAATAAAAAAGATGATGCATTAGTGGATACAGGCTTGAGTTAAAAATAATTGTCATTTCAAAAACTTTCCCCTTTCTATAGATTTGGGCACTAGTCTCAAAGTACATTCCAAAGAGAAAATTCATAAATTTCCCAGTCTCCATTAATCCCCTCCCAACTCAACCTCTAAAATCCCTCAAGTAATAATCACTGGGTTTGGAGGCCAGAATCCAGCAGATAAGGACTGTTTTCTAAGTCCAAACTAATCTGTCATTAGTGATGTAAATACTGATCAATGTTCAAAAACTAGCATATGATTTCTGAGGCCTCACTTTGTTGTTTGGCTTGATTATATAACTTTCTTCCTTCCAAACTCATCTTCCCAGTACTCCAGCCATTTGAATGTTTTGAATTCATTCAGTGCATATTTATTGAGCACCCTCAATGAGCCAGGAATAGTTCCAGGTGATTGGATACTTTAAGGAATAAAACAGTAAAAAAAAAATGCCTGCCCTCATGAAGCTTTTATTATATTGCAGTCCCACAAAGGGGATATATCTATAAATAAACTTGTCCTTCTTTCTAGAAGGCACTTCTATACTTCTTTATCCAGTGAGTCCTTACCCAGGTGTCAAGCTCCACTCATAGGTACCACTTCCAGGAATCTTTCCTGCTATGTGTTAGGTGCCCCTTCTGAGTATTCCTAGGATTTTATTTTTGGAAGTGCACTTACCACATTCCATTAGAATTGCCTGTTTACTTTTTCTATCTTTTCAGCTACACCAGGGGTCAGCAAACTTTTGCTATAAAGGGGTAGAAAGTAAATATTTTAGGATCATAGGCTGTATTAGTCAGGGTTTTCCAAAGAAACTGAAACTATTTATGCAGGCTGATCCCTAATCTGAAAATCTGAAATCTGAAATCTGAAATGCTCCAAAATATATGGTCTCTATGGCAATCATCGACTGCCATTGTAAAGTGAAAGGAGCTGTAAATAGCACATAAACAAAAACTTTATCTATTAAAACAGATAGAGACTGGATTTTGTCTGCAGACTGTAGTTTGCCAACCCCTGAACTAGTCTACGAATTTCTTGAGCAGGGACAGGGTCCTGGTTAATTCAAACATCCTTGGACATAATGGGAACTTAATGAATTATTGTTGAATGAATATGGAACTGATACCATAATAGCTATGTGATTGCCATTATGGATATGGATGGTGGCAAATTCACAGTCATCTTGGTTACTATCAGGAACTATATCTCACAATAGTTAAGGATGGCTGCTAATGATTACAAGTATGCTTGATTATGTCATCTGGATGGCCATATGTGTTTTTCTTCAGTTTGCATGTGCATATATTTTAGTTAAGCAAATATGCACATATATAGCTGTGTCATATTTTAAGTTTTCCTATAATTTTTCCAAATGGAATAATACAAATACACCAAATAAAACAGAGGTTTATTTAAAATAATTTGTCAATGTTAGGGTATCCAGGCACTCTAAATTCTTCTTCAATTGTTTGCAAGGAAAATCAAGTAACAGTCATTAAGCTCTAAAATATGTCAACTACTTTATACCTTAACCTCTATTTTACAGTTCCTGATCCTTCTGGAGAATGTGGAAAATATTTTCTCCTGAAAACACCCCTGACAGTTATTTGTAGGGTATCCTTAGGGATGTCTCATGTGTTAATCAATAAGTTCTATCTGCTTCCCTGTGACGCTGACCATTCATTTTTTCTTTTTCTAGCTCTGCTTGCTCCAGGCCTTCTTCAGTGATATGACCAAAGTTGAGGAATGTCCTCTCACTTTTGGTGTGTGTGTGTGTGGCTCATACCTACTACTGACAACTGCGAATACCTCCC
This sequence comes from Homo sapiens, assembly GCF_000001405.40. Classification (NCBI taxonomy): domain Eukaryota; kingdom Metazoa; phylum Chordata; class Mammalia; order Primates; family Hominidae; genus Homo; species Homo sapiens. The sequence continues at coordinate 101,349,382 of NC_000009.12, read as the reverse complement.
TTGTATATGGTGAACACCTTACGTCCAGTGCTTTGCCAGTGTCCTAAATTCTCATTGGCTATATCCCTTGATGGTCTATGGAGTACCATGTTCCCTGTTCTGGGGAGCAGGGTGGAGAAGGCCTGGATGTACTTCTTAGCTTGTACTTCGCTTTGCCACCTGGGTCATCATGACTTGCCTACCTTTTTCTGTGTTTCTCATAGATTCTTAGTAAAAACAACACTTTCTATTTCTGCTGCACCTCTCCTCCACTTTACCTCCTATGTTTGTATCTGGTTCTGGAAATTAGTCATGAATATGGGGTCCTTGCTATCTCATCAATGTACCTCTCATCCAGTATGAGAACTGTGTACCAAAATACCTCCCTCTTCTTCTAGACATCCCAATATGTCTTTGAGTTCCAAGATCAACCGCTTTTTTCCAAGTCTTATGTTTCACTTTTATTCCATTTTATCATATTACTCCCATTTTACAAATTAGAAGGCTGAAGCACATGGAAAGTTAAGTAATTTGTTTGATGTAAGTCGCACAGAGTAATGAAGTAAGGGATCTAATCTAAATCTGAGTCCAGAGACCAGTGATCTTCCAACTATAGCTTACTGGCTGCAAGAGATACAAAAACAAAAAGGCAAGGCCCCTCCCTTAAGGAATTCACAGCCTAAAGCAGAGTCTACAATCTGTAAGTTAGCTCATTTATACATTTTGACAATGGCCTTTGGCTGATGGGATTAACAATGGGACAATGAAAATTTCAGTAGTTCCAGTTCTGGGTAGCATTTTTGTCTGGGTAAGCTTTTGCTGTCCTTTGGAAAAGTGGTTTCCAGATTAGGATACACATTAGAAATCCCTGTTAAAAATACATATGCAAGAACCTTATCTCAGACCTATCAAGTCAGAACTTTCAGGTGCAGGACCCAGGAATCTTTACTTAACAGGCTCCTCAGGTGAGTCTTATGCCACCAGCTCACATTGCTCTTAAAATTGATATTTGGGACTTGCTCTCTTAGACACTGTTCCAGAGGAAACTGTCCAGAGACCACTGACTTAGAGGAGGAGACACAGAAGGAACTAAAGCGAAGGAGATTAGAACCAGGAGTTGAGTGAGTCAAGAGAAAAGGCTTAGAAACCTGAGCTATGTGATGAAATATTAGACTCCATTGTGAACACCTGAACTAAAAAGCAGACTAGAGAGACTGGGCTCTGCCCAGACCCTTCGGCAGCATCTGCTGGTAGCCCTGTCGCTGGGGACTTAAAAACAGGAGTAGTGGATGGTTTCTGTGCAGACAATTTCAACTTTCAATAGGCTGGGTTGTTTTAAATGATATAAATTAGCAAGCAACAGGCAAGCATCCAGTGCTTCTAAGTTGGCTTCTAAGTTCAGTGAGCCATTCTGCTTTAGTCTGCCTCCTGCAGCTGAACTCACGGTGAGTATCTGGGGAGTCAGGGATGTCATTGCTTTGTAGAGAGGGTCTGCTTTCTGATACATCTGCCTGCAGGGCATCTGGAAAGGCTGCTTTCATCTTGCTGTGTTTGTTTCTGTCATCCCAGAGGAAAACACAGTTCTCTGAGGGACGAGTAATCATCATCTCAGGTGGTTCATTGCTCTGAAATACAGATTTTTGTCAGATGCATCAACCTAACTAAGAGATTGCTGGATGACTATTTTGGAGGCAACATGCACAGCTGGGCTTCCAGAGTAGTAAGGGTCCAGCTAATAAGAATTTTATAGAGATTGTTTCTTGACTTTCAAAACACTTTTCCTGCGATTTAGTGCACGGGAGTAGGGGGAGGTAAGCTGGGGGCGGTATTTCTACCTGGACTGAGAGATGAAGTGCCAGTGATGACAAAAGCAACAGGCTCCTAAAGAAAACAAGAGTTTTGTTTCTTGATTAGTAATTTTAATCTGCATTGGTGACCTTCTGTTCTTTTATTCTTTGTTTTCTGCCCCTCTTTTTGGCGCTCTACCAGTTTTTGACTTCTCTTTCTTCTAATAGGCCACTGTCTCCCAGTGATGTAGACTTGATCCCTTTTACTGTGGTCAGGGACCTCCAGACTCCATAACATTGCTTTCATGTTCAGCCTCCAATAAGGCTGTCTCCATATTGCTAAGGGCTCCCTCCCCAACCACTTCAAGGCGAATCCTGTGGAAGGCAGCAAGGTTAATGCTGCTTGTTCTCCACTGCTTTGTATCCTTTGTTTCCTGAATACCCTGCAGTGTGAGGAGTCCTGGCTTCCAGTGCAAAAAAGTGGGGAAGCTGGGAAAATATATTCAATCAGATCTTGAAGCATCTCCCATCTTCAGAAGTAGAATATAAACAGTCAAGTTGGCTTCTATTCTTTCTTATTCATCGTCTCTCAGAAATTTTACTCAATTTTTTTCTTTTATGCATATCATTTATTCTTTCATGTATTCATCAAATATTTATTAAGCAGCCACTTGCTTAGTAAATATGTGTCATGCCCTATTCTAAGAACTGAAGAACACAGTGTTGAACAGGGTAGAATTTCTGTCCTTGAGGAATTTACAATCTGGAATAGTGCTATCAAATAGAATATTCTCCAATGGCAGAAATGTTCCGTATCTACATTGTTCAATATAGTAGCCACTAGTTACATGTGATTATTGAGCAATTAAATTGTGGTTAGTGTGGCTGAGGAACTAGATTTTTGTTTTATTTATTTTTAATTAATTACATTTAATTAGCTATGTATGGCTAGTGACTACTGTATTTGTATAGAGCAGAAAATGGATAGTCAGATAAAGAAGCAGACTTTCACAATATCATATGTTAAGTTTGTAATGAGATAGTTGTTTAGACTAGTAAATAGATCAGGGTTAAAGGCTTTGATTGAATCAGATTATGAAAGGTGCCAAACACAAAGGACCGTCCAAGTCTAACACTTACAGATTCAGCTGGTAAAGAAATAATGAACTAATTTTAGATTCAGCCAGATTATTACTTATATACATAGTGAAGAAAAGAGAAGCTAAAGATGTCAGCCCTATGAGTCCTCATCCCACACACCAAAAGGATGGCACTGAAACAAAAGGGGTCAGATGGCTTCAGCAAGAGTTGTGATACACCCTATTGCTGGCCAGTCAATTCCAGACTGCAGCTAAATGGCTATAGAGCTGCAGTTCTGCCCTACGGAAGCATAGGGGTTAAGTTGGAAGTCTCATGTTCCTCTGGAACCTGGGAGTTATATCAGAAAACCGCCTCATGGCAGCATCCCACAAGATAGAGGCAGATGAGAAAACAACCTCGCGAAGCCTTCTCTGAAGATTTCCTCCCTTGCCATGTTCCTAGGAGGATCACAGGGCATTCCACCCAGATTTAGGTCATATGGCAGTCCAAGCTTTGCCTGTGCATCCCATGTAGACACATGTAGAGTCTCTAGGGCTCCATGGTAGAGCCACTCCCTTGGAAATGGTCTTAAGTGCTATGCCAAAGGATTTAGATTCTACCCTTAAATGAATCCGGGAGCTACTGGAAGTTTAAAGTAGAAGAGTAATTTGACTTTTGAGTTTTGCAGAGATCAGTCTGACAATATTGTAGAGACTAAAAAAAAAAAACTGTAAAAAGGAAGAAAGATTTGGGAAAAAGGACGAGAGTTTGTGGGAATGAAGAGTGTACAGTTAAAATCATTTATGAACACATGGTATGTGAAGGGCTCTGTATACAGTAAAGGTGACAAATAAATCAAACAGAATTCTGCCCTCAAGAAAATTTCAGATTAATAGGAGAGAGAAAACACAACATAAATGATTATAAGGCTCAATATATTAAGTGCTTTGAGAGGCATGCTGGAGGGCCCAGAGGAAGGAGAGACCTCTTCAGATGGGTGTCCCTTATACAGTAGGTAGTTTATTGATGATTATGACAATGAAGTGTTGGACAGGAGAAGCCTTAAGGATCTTATAAATTAACACTCTGGAATCTATGAGGAGCTAGCTCTGAGAAGCAATAAGCCTTATCAACTAACAAGGGTATGAATCCATGTATATGGATTAGTTGGGATCCAACTGAGAATAAGGTAATACAAATGTAATAGAAAAGTAGGAAAAAGTCATATAGATTAAGCATGGGGAGAGATGGCAAGGAGAAGGTTTGAAGGCTTTGGATTTTGAGGCCAGCCAGTGTCAACTTGTTCTTTTTTTATTTTTTTTATGAGACAGCGTCTTGCTCTGTCACCCAGGCTGGAGTGTAGTGGCGTGATCTTGGCTCACTGCAACCTCCACCTCCCGGGTTCAAGTGATTCTTCTGCCTCAGCCTCCTGAGTAGCTGGGACTACAGGTGCATGCCACCACACCCGGCTAATTTTTGTATTTTTAGAAGAGATGAGGTTTCACCATATTGTCCAGGCTGGTCTCGAACTCCAGACCTCGTGATTTGCCTGCCTCGGCCTCTAAAAGTGCTGGGATTACAGGCATGAGCCACCGCGCCCGGCTCAACTCATTCTTTATCATTGGACATATTAATAGATGGGTTCTCACTTCCCACTTCTCATCCCCTCATTTTGGCATTTCCACTTTACTTTGTCATCCTTCTTCTACCTAAAGGAGGCCAGTTGATATCCATTGCCTTAAAAAAAGGTAACACATCAGAAAGAGGGAAAAAATCTTCTTTTGGTTTTTGAGTTATAAAAATCCTAATGGCTGATATGCACTCCAGAAGTCATAAATGAGTATGTTTTGTTTGGTTCATATCTTGTTTTGTTGCCCACTGAATACCTTTAGACTGGGCTAAAGACTAGGTTGTCTTTAGTTCTTTACAGTTCTGTATCTCATTTATTCCTGGCCCTTATCTATAAATTTATATTACCTGCTTGGGTCCCCATGGGTATCTGAATTTGGAGCCTCTGGCATACATTGTACAGCAGGTTCAGAAGAATGCACAATAATATATAAGCTTCCCGAGTCTTTCAGCATTATAGAAGTCACAGAAAACTTACTTGGATTCCAAGTAATTTCTATTTTGAGTCTTTGTTCCTCCAGGTGGCAGAGATATAATCTTAGAACAAATACTTAAAATGGAATTTACTTGGAATCTAGAAAAATAGAAAAAAATACATTTGTGCACGCATGAGTTTGTGGGCTATAATTCTACTATTTCACTATCTGTCCTGCCAAAGTATGCAACAGGGTGTATACTTAACTAAAAGGTTCAGAGTCAGGAAAAATGAAGATGAAATTAAAAATAAAGTATTGAGAAAGAAAAAAAGGAGGGGTAGGTTAAGAGAAGAGTGAGTTTTCATATTTCTACTCTCATTTGGGGAAAATAGTTAAGGTTTATGTGTTGGGTCACCTGGTATGAGTTAAGATTCTTGCTTCACCATTGACTACATAGGCAAACTTGGCTAAATCATTTAACTCACTGAGCTCTATTTCCTAATTTGTAATGTAAGCATAGTAATATGTTTTTATTCCTACAGGGTTGTCATTCCCACAGGGAATAATGACCTTGAAAGAGCCTTGAAAAGTGAAAAAGCTTTACTATGGGAATTAATATTATCCAGTAGCTAGCTTTTAGTAAATGCTTAATAATTGCTGTTAGAGAAAAATAAATTAAGGGGAGAATAGAATTGCCCAGTCTCAAGTATGTCTTTATCAGCAACGTGAGAAAAGACTGATACAGACTGTATGTCTCGTGGCTGTTTAATGTGCATGCTCGGAGTCCTAAAGACAGTCACTGTCCTAACATACAATTCAACAAGTGATTCAAGGACAGAAACATGATGGAATCATTGTGTTTCTTACAGACTGAAAATCAGGTGTCTACAAACAAATACCCCAGCTTTAAGGAGAATTGATAGTAGTGGGCTGAGAATAAAAAAGTACCCACACTCATGGGAAAAGACTGATTTTTCTGTAGCTAAACTAATAAATCCTACAACTGCTCTCCTTAGTTTACAGTGTGCTGATGCTATCAATTCACCAGAAAGGAATCTATACACGAAAATGTATAATATGTTTTTTCAGTTTAGATAACAAGATCATTTTTTCCGGGTTAGATATATTTCTGTTGGTAAAGGTTAAGTGGGATTATATTGAAAGATCTCTTTTTGGGACTAGGGGCCTCAAAATTTGGAGATTTCTGTACCTTGACATTAGTAGCCTTCACTAATATAGAGTAGCAGAGACAACACAGAGAGGTGGTGAGTGATGTGGGATACCAGACCTTCATATAACAGGGTGAGATTGATTCCATCACATAGTCTAGGGGCATAGCCAGCCTGGTTTTAGGAAGGAGTTTGATGCTGGGATTTTCTCTGTTGGTAGACTCTCATATATGACCAAAAGGAAACCCCAGACTGTTGGGATATCCTAGAGGAATTTCTCACTCAGTAGAACTTTTTAGAAAAAGTAAAAGTCATATGCTTTCCCAAAGTTTGAATCATAGTCTGTTGGCCAGTAAAAAAAAAGCATGCAACTAAGTCAGGAAACTTGGCACCTTTTCTCTCTTGACCATGATATGACCTTACAGAAGTCAATCATCCCGAGTTTGTGAAATGCAAAGTTGAACTAGTTGACTCTTTGATTGCAAGTAATAGTTATCAACTCAAGCTAATGTAAACAAAGGGATTCTATTATAAGGATGCCAGAGTGTCTCAAAGAACTCAAGTACAGTTGACCTTCAGGAGTGGTTGGAACCAGGAATTTGAAATCTAGTAAGATTACTTTCTCTGCCTTTCATCTTTATATCTACTTTATTCATTCATAACTTCTCTCTCCCCCTCTCTCCTTCCCCCTCTCCTGGTCCCCATCTCCCCCTCCCCCTCCCCCTGCCCCTCCCCATCTCCCCCTCCTCCTCCCCATCTCTCCCTCCCATTCCCCTTCCCCCTCCCCCTCCCACTCTCCCCCCCATCTCCCCCTCCCCCTCTCCCTGTCCCCGTCTCCCCCGTTCCCCCCCTCTCCCCGTCCCCTTCCTCTTCCCCCTCCCCTTCCCTCTTCCCCTCCCCATCTCTCCCTCCCCCTCCCCTTCCCCCCCTTCCCCTCCTCTCCCTCTCCCCCTCCCCTCAAACTCCCACATCTTTTCCCTAAGACTGATTTTCTGGGATTATCTGGATACAGCTTCAGCTTCTGAATTTTATGGATTCAATTACATGTGAGTCCAGGGCCAGGGTAAGGAAAGAGAGGTTCAAGGGTGCAAAATATCAGGAAGACCTTAGAGGCTTGGTCTCTCAGTGACATGAAAGTAAACTTTGGTCCTCTAGGTGCCTCTCTTGCCTCACCTTAGTCTTGACCCTGAGAGAGTGACTATTGATCTCTGGGTCTCAATTCTAAGCTAACAAGGTGAAAACATCATTGCCACATCTTGAATCTGAAATTCAGCTCTAATCCAATCAGCAATGGCACCAGGGCTGATGCCACAAGGTACATACATAGCTCTTGAGTGATCATAGCTCTGGGCTTTAGGAGACTATTCTCAGATAAAAAGGAACTACAAGTTGGGAAGAAAGCCTCAAATCTTCAATCACACATGTACTATATAATATTTATTTCCATTACATTTTTGGTGCTAATTTATTCTGCCCCTTATAAACCTTATAACTCCTAAACATGTACATTGTATAATTTATTATATCAATGTTGAAAGGATCCCTAAAGTTTTCATACACAGTTACTACCCTTGAGAGGCTCATTTGGGAGGATAAAACTAGATACAGGATGCATGCTGAAGAGTGGTTATAGTAAGCAATTAAAATAATTAACTATAAAAATAAAAGCTGTATTGGGCTAATGCATTGTACAGAAGTTTAGAGAAGGAGAATAATAGCAAGGAGAGGAAGAATCAATGATGTCTTCTTAAAGATATCTTTTTGGGGGACAAAGAGGACAGCAGATACAGAGGCTTACAGGAAGGAATCATATCAGAAAATATTAATACCTAGAGAACATTGAAATGTTGCAGGGGACACCAGACACTCTTTTTAATATTACATGTCCCATCTCCCTAACATGAATGAAAGACTCATGAAGTTGGAAATGATGCCACATTCCGTCAAGAACTTTCCCAATATTGAGAAAATATATTCATAATCATTCTATTTATTCAAAATTAATGTATTGACCATGAATTTAAGTGTGTGTAAAATGGCCAGTAGTGCTGTTTGTTAATGAGTTTATCAGGTGGGAGTGTGTACTTTGCAGAAAATCACTTTTTAAAAGTAAATGCAAAAAGACGTTTTCCCCTTGATCCTCTTCTACCTCTGATGACTAATCTCTTATCTACAGTAGAGAATTGGGCATTGCTGTAGTTGGGATGTTTGACCCCTCCAAATCTCACGTTGAATTTGATCCCTACTCTTGGAGGTGAGGCCTCTTGGGAGGTATTTGGGTCATGGGGGCAAATCTCTCCTGAATGTTTTGTTGAGGTCCTTGTGGTAATGAGTGCATTCTCCCACTCTTAGTTCCTCTGAGAGCTGGTTGTTAGCAAGAGCCTGGCATCTTCCTGCCCTCTTTCTCTTGCTTCCTCTCCTCTCATGTGATGGCTGTACATGACGGCTCCCCTTCTCCTTCTACCATGAGTGGAAGCCGCCTGAAGCCCACATCAAGAGCAGATGCTGGAGCCATGCTTCTTGTACAGCCTGCAGAATCATAAGCCCCAAGTAAACCTCTTTTCTTTATAAATTACCCAGCCTCAAGTATTCCCTGATAGCATACACAACAAACTAAGACAGGCATCAATTGCTCTTTTCCTCCACCTGCACTACTGGAGCCTATTTATTTCCACAGAAGTTTTTCTGCACCCAAATACAAACCCCAAAGCCTTTATTTTGAATTATCCCCTAAATAAAATTAAGGACCCCTTGGAGAGTCAAGCTTTTAGGGGGACACCTATTACTGCTATTTCTGTGAAGATATTGTTGAAAAATGGTTCAGATGTATATGCCAAAGTCTCATGTGAGAAATATCTTTTAGAGCTAAAGATCTTTTTGGGAAGGGCCTCACTTTTTCCTTTCCCCTAAGGAACTGATAATTTTTTCTTTGAGAATAGTTAGAACAACATAACTGACCAGGCAGCCCTTTTTCCTTTGGCTATCAGTAGATTGGCACCAAACTTACAACCCACAAAATGCCCTTCTTTTCATGTTCCAGGTTTTCTGTGATAAATACTTGTAATCCTAGTCCATATTTTCCCAAATCTTATTTTATTTAATTTTACTCTTTAACTGTTTTACTCTTTGTCAGTAAACAGATTCAAATCTTTTGTGGAATGGGGTACGGAGGAAAAAAGAAAGGAAGGAAGGGAGGGAGGGAAGAAGACCCCATTTTCCTTATAATGGAGCAGGGTACAAAGTGGCCAATCAAATGTATATGGTAGTCTCTTTACTACAAACAACATTGGCATTCATAACTCTATTAGAAAAGCATAATAGCAAAGACAAGAGCATGAAGTTTTATTTTCCCTTAAAAAGAACAAACAATGGAAAATCTGCAAAGAGCTAGAGGTCTAACAATGGCAGGTAGGGATGACAGACTAAAAGGAAAATAACAACGACAATAACAGAGAGTGTGTTTATGTAAGTCTGTGCCCATAGCCATACCCAACAGGTGTGGGGGCTGAAAAGCAGTGTTGTTTCAGAGCCCTTTGTCATGTATTATCCCCCTTGGCTCCTAATACCTTACAAAGATAGGTCATACGGGTATTATTTCAGCTGAAGAATTAAACCTTAATGTACTGAAAACCACGAAACTAAGATTTACTAGTGTTATAATGGATAAGACAGAAGGCTGTGGTGTCAGATATAGCTTGAATTCCCACTTCTACTATCAACTACTTGTGAGACTTGGAGCATGCCATATAACCCGTTTCCTCATCTGTAAAATGAGAACAATGAGTACTTTCTGCATGTCTCTCTCTCCCTCCTCCAAAAGTTCTGCACATTTTTCACTAAGTTCCCAGAAGTTTAATTTGGTCAGACCTAATATAAACCTTGCCTTGACCTTTTCTTGGAATTTAAATCTCCAACTTAAAGTCTTCTCTCCCACTACAGAGGGTGAAGCACCACTTGGTCCCTTGCCAGTTGCCAATGTTCCAGCTGTCAGCCACCCCAGCAAGTGCCCTTGCAGATGATCCAGTGCATATCCAAGGGACAGGCCTGCCCCCATCCCAGGTGATAACTCTGAAGGCCTCGCTGAAGGACGAGAAGAGGAATCTATTCTGATCCATGGCCTTCTACAGGGCTAATGAGGCTGGTGAGGTGGACCTGGAGCAGGCTCCGGCATTTGGAGGTGACTACATGGGGGTACATCCAATGGGCCTCTTTTGGTCTCTGAAGCCTGAGAGGCCTTTCCGGAGGCTGCTCAAGCAGGATGTGATGAACAGCCCCTTTTGGGTCAGTCTGGACCTATATGACTCCATTTGTTTTCAAGATTCAGCCACTGTTCAGCCCAAGGCCAGCCAGACCGTGCAGCACTGGTTCTCAGGCCCTGGGGTGCAGAGGCAGCAGATCCAAGAAGGTCCAGTGCAAGGAGCCCTTTTTCTCCCTCCAGGTGAAACTAATCTTTTGTGATACAGAAACCACTGTTAATGTGTATTAGTTCATTTTCATGCTGCTGATAAAGGCATACCCGAAAGCGGGAACAAAAAGAGATTTAATTGGACTTATAGTTCCACATGGCTAGGGAGGTCTCATAATCATGGCGGAGGGTGAAAGGCACTTCTTACATGGCAGCAACAAGACAGAATGAGGAAGAAGCAAAAGCAGAAACCCCTGATAAAACCATCAGATCTCGTGAGACTTACTATCATGAGAATAGCACCGGAAAGATCAGCTGCTATGACTCAATTACCTTGCCCTGGGTCCCTCCCAATCGTATCTCCCAGAATTCCTTCTTTGACTCTGGGAATTCTGGGAGATACGATTCAAGTTGAGGTTTCGCTGGGGACACAGCCAAACCATATCATAATGGAAATAAAAACAATAACAAATTGTATCAAATTATTAGAGAACCCGTATTTCCCATAAAGTTTTTTTTTTTTTTTGAGATGGAATCTCGCTCTATCGCCCAGGCTGGAGTGCAGTGGCGCGATCTCAGCTCACTGCAAGCTCCGCCTCCCGGGCTCACGCCATTCTCCTGCCTCAGCCTCTCTAGTAGCTGGGACTACAGGCACCCGCCACGACGCCCGGCTAATTTTTTGTATTTTTTAGTAGAGACGGGGTTTCACCGTGTTAGCCAGGATGGTCTCGATCTCCTGACCTTGTGATCCGCCCGCCTTGGCCTCCCAAAGTGCTGGGATGATAGGCGTGAGCCACCGCCCCTGGCCTCCCATAAAGTTTTAAAACTAATGTGCCAGTGTGTGTGTGTGTGTGTGTGTGTGTGTGTGTGTAATTTTGCTCACCTTGCATTTTCACGGCTATTTGACCTTTTTTTCGCTCTTTCTGATCCCATTCTCTTCTCTCTTTGCACTCGCAGGGGAAGGCCCTTTCCCAGGAGTCATTGATTTGTTTGGGGGCATTGGGAGCCTAGTAGAATTTCGGGCCAGTCTTTTGGCTTCCCATGGTTTTGCAGTGCTGGCATTAGCATATTTTGCCTACAAAGACTTGCCTGACAAACTGCAGGAGGTGGACTTGGAATATTTTGAGGAAGCTGCCAACTTGCTACTAGCTCATCCCAAGGTATTTAAAATACTTTCCATTTTACCTTGGACAACTACAAAAAAACAAAATCACCAGTGTCTGCTCTGTTTTACCAATTTGCACAGACTTGGACACAGCAGAGCTGACAGTTAAATGGGGATGGTAATAACTGCCTTGAAAGATTGTTGAGTTGATTTGTGATCAGTTTTGTGCTTATTGGCACATAGAAGACAATAAATAAATGGTGGACATAATGTGATTATTTTTTAGTGGAAAAAAACCAAGATGCCTTTCATTTGAAGTGTTTGTAACTTATTCATAAGGGTCTCTTCAATGCTTTACTGTCACTCACCTCAAATCAGGAATTCTCTGATTTGACATGTTTTGAAACTTCAGTGATTATCTCTGCAGGGGGATAATGCTGTAGTAAGTCACACTGAAGAGTCCTGAAACTAAGATCAGGACAAAGATACAAGATCAGGTCGGGAGTATCGGCAAAACTGACTTGACTGCATTACCTGACTAGCTGAATTAGCTTTTTAGTTAGTTTCAGAGCTAGGGGCCAAGTGAAGCATAGAGTAAGTGTCCAATGCCAAGAGCCAGGCTAGAGAAAGGAATCTGAAAAGGAAGGGTCATTTTAGCACTCTTTGTCAAGTGTGTCCTTCTACTATTGAAAATGTAGTTCATGGACCAGTGGCCACAGCATCACCTGGAAGCCTTCAGAAATGCAGCATCTCATTTTCCATCCCTGAAACAGCAAACTGCATATTAACAAGATCCTCAGGTGATTCTTATGCACATTAATGATTGAGAAGGACTGGAATAGTAACATTAACCTAGCTTCTTCTAAGAGGTAAATATTAGTTGAACTAGGATCTATTCTCTTGAGGAGTTCCAAAGTACTGATATTTGTGCTAATGATTAAAAATAGAGGCCGGGCGCGGTGGCTCATGCCTGTAATCCCAGCACTTTGGGAGGCTGAGGTGGGCTGATCACAAGTTCAGGAGTTCGAGACCAGCCTGGCCAATATGGTGAAACCTTGTCTCTACTAAAAATACAAAAATTAGCCAGGCGTGGTGGCAGACGCCTGTAGTCCCAGCTACTCCGGAGGCTGAGGCAGGAGAATTGCTTGAACCCGGGAGGCAGAGGTTGCAGTGAGCCGAGATCGGGCCACCGCACTCCAGCCTGGGAGACAGAGCGAGACTCTGTCTCCAAAAAAAAAAAAAAGAAACCCAGAAATAGATATCACAATATCAAGTATCAGGGTTGGTATTCTACTAAGTTTAACTTACTGTTTTGCAGATCAAAATGTTCAAATGTCAGCCATTTCTTGTGGATCAACTTAATACTGGTAAAACAATACTGGCTTACATTTGATGAGTGATATTTGTTAGACTCTATGATAAACATTTTATATGAAGTCTCATGTAACATTCACAATAGCCTTATGAAGTACTATCAACAGCAACCTCATTTTTCAGATGAGAAAGCATATTTAAAGTAATGTGTCAAAACTACATAGGCAGTAAGTGACAGATACAATCTGATAAGGTCCTTGCTCCAAACCATTAAATTATCTTTGACTTCCTCAAATGTTTTATTCTTTTCCACCCCAACCCTGGAGAGCCTTGACTCTTCTCAAGGAGAGAGAGGATATGTTTCCTATTGGGACATTATCAACATCTTCATCTTTAGTGTTGAGAAAACATGTGTAATTTTTCTAAGCTTATTTGGGTCTTTTTAAAAGATTGCCTAAAAAGAATTAAATCCCAACTAAAATGTTTTCAAATTATTTTTTTTCCATTTCAGATTTAACTATTTGTGAAATTAATCTGAGGAAGAAAAGTCAACTGCAGATATTCAACTTAGATTTAGATTCAGGGGATAAGCTTCAATTTCCACCTTTGCCCCTTGATAATGTTGTGGCCTTAAGCAAATCTTTTAAGTTTCCTGAATCCAGTTTGGCTATTGGAAAGACCAGCTGAGATAATGTGTGTATAGCAGCTAGCATAGAGTAAACTCTGAAAAAAACCACTTTGTTATCTTTGCCCATCTATTTTCTTCCCTCTCTCCCCAAGTCTTCAACCAGTCACAAGTGTTTTAGGTTCTACTCCTGTCTTTCTCAAGGAGGACCTTCTTCGTCCTCCTTGAGATTGTTTTAGCCTACTAGTCAATTTCTGACTTCCAGTTACAGCCATCCTCCTTCACTCCCTTATTCATTAATCACACAGATGTTTCCCAATTTCCTTGGGGGACATTTTACAGTATCAGATTCTTGGGCCCACTCATACCTATGGGAACAGACACTTGAAAAATTGAGTCTCAGGAAGCTCAAATTAAAAAAAAAATCAGATGATTCTGATGACAGGAAGTGCTAGGGGCACAACTGTGAGCAAAATAAACAAACTAGGTCTTTATGTACCTGTCGTTGTCTGTCCAGAGTGCCCTTCCTTTCCCCCCTCATCTTTCAGACCTTTCATGTCCCCTCAGCTCCCTCAGTCTACCAGAGAACGAATGATCCTCCTCTATGAGCTACTACCTTTTCCTATTGGTACTACAATTCAATTATTTACTGAATCCAAGCCTTTTGTCTTCATACTCTCATTGCTTTCAGGATTAGCTGTTGAATTTATGGAGGTAATATATGGGCAAAACCTTTGTAGCTATAAAATGCTATTTAAATGTGAATTCCACTTACATAATATTTGAGAGAACCTGAAAAACACCCTTTTTTTCTGGCTAGAGACAAGAATTTTATTCTTCAGAAAGCTTACCTGGCTCTATTCTTGTAATGCCAAGCATCACTGGTGGGTTAGACTCTTTTTGCCCTTACAAAACTCTACTATTGATGAAGAGTGTTTATTTCTATTGTTTCACTTGATCCTCATAACAGCCTTGCAAGGTCGGTATCATCCCTACAAGACAATAAAGGTTAGTGAGAGTTAAGTGGGTAACATTCTCAGTCCCAGGAGCTGGTAAATCTGAGTGCCAAGACTCGACCTTCTTTGACTCTTTCCATCATACTTATTTATTGGCATGCCCGGGACAGCTCTTTCTCAGCTTGTGACCTGTAGCAGATTCCCTTTGTTTTGTGCTTCAGATCCAAAGGCCAGGAATTGGAGTGATCTCCGTGTGCAAAGGTGCCGAGATTGGCTTGGCTATGGCCTGCTACCTGAAGCAGGTGGTGGCCACCGTCTGCATTAACGGGCCCAACGCCAGCTTTGAAGTTCCACTCAGATACGGGGATCTGATTGTGACACCCATCAGCTCAGCTCAGCTCAGCTCAGGAGCGCCTGCAGGTCCACGTCTCTGGAGCTGTGCTCCTCTGCCACTGTAAGGGAGACTCCCCGAGATGGGCTCCATCAGCAGAGTGTGCTTCCTGTTGAAAAGGCTAGGGGTTGGATTCTTTTCATTGCTGGGGAGAGTGACGAATGCCTGGATAGCAAAGCGTACGCTGAGCAGGCCGTGGACCAGCTGCAGAGCCATGGCAGAAGCAGCGGGAGGATGCTGGTGCACCTCGGGGCAGGCCACCTCCTAGAACCGCCCTATGCTCCCTTGTGCTTCGCGTGCTGGAACCCGGGCATTTCCAGGCCTTTGCTCTGGGGAGGAGACGCTGCTGCTCATGCGGCAGCCCAGGAGCACGCCTTGGGGGAGATCCAGAAATTCTTCAGGCAACACCTCATTAAGACCAGAAGCAAACTCTGAGCAAAAGCTGAGTGATGATGGGGTGGACAGAGGCTGGAGTGCGGGTGGGAGGATAACGAGGATAAGGCAAGAGCACAGTGGGGAGAGGGGGCTCTCCTAGTTTGGCTGGATTCACAGTCATCTTGAATCAACTGGAAGGTGGTCAGACAAAAATCAAAGGACCGGGCACACATTCATGGGAAGTATTTCTCATAAATTGGTACGTGTTTCAAATTTTTGTAAATTGAATCCTAGTTTATACGAACTAAGGCACATTATTATTTCAAAATGGTGATACCCTTGCAAATTTTTTTATTGTTTGTTTTTGTTGTTGAGACAGAGGCACGTTCATTCACCCAGGCTGGAGTGCAGTGCCAGGATCATGGCTTACTGTAGCCTCAGACTGCCAGGCTTAAGCTATCCTCCCACCTCAGCCTACTGAGTCACCGGGATTACAGGTGTGTATCACCAAGCCCAGCTAATTTTTTTTGGAGAGACAGGATCTGGTTAGGCTGGCCTCAAGTAATCTTCTTGCCTCTGCCTCCCAAAGTTCTGAGATTAAAGGCATAAGCCACTACACCTGGCCCCTTGCAAACTGAATAATCTTCTATACCCCAGTTAGCAATACCCTGGGCCCAGGCATTGCCAATCTAGATAAATTCCCTAGAAACTCCAAGTTACTGACAGAAATACATTTTCTGTTTAAACGATTTTGAATTGCGTTTCTGACACTTGATATGAAAAGTTCTAAAACCACCATTAAGTATAATGCTTGCTATAGATTTCCAGTAGAGTCTTACTTTTTTTAGAATAGTGATGCTTCTATTTATTCCTAAAATATATATTTACCATTTTAATAAAATTGAATTTTATCAAATGCCTTTGTGGCATTTATTAATTAAATGAGTTAATATTTTTTAAAGCTGTTAGAACAGTGCCTGGCACACAGCAATTACTATTCTAGAGTTAGCCATTATTATTTTCATAAAGCTGTCCTTCTCCAGTCTGTTAGTGAGGTGAATTTCATTCATTAATGGACTAATTTTTCTTATGTATCTAATTTTAATAAATTAATTTCTCATATTGATTAATGTGGGTTTTAAAATTTGTTTTAGAGCCAATCTGGACATTTACATTTTTTCAGAATTGCACCCATGTTTTCTAGAACACATTTTTCTCTTACAATTTTTGATATGGCCCCTATTGTTTATATGCATGTTTTCTTTTTCTTCTCAGCCTGATTTGCCAAATATTTCTCTTTTATTTATCTTTTCCAGGGACAGTTTTTGGTTTATTTTTTGGTCAAATTGTTTTTTACTGATTCATTGATTTCTGATTTTTAGAAATAAATTATTTTCTGCTGCCGCTTTTGTATTTTCCTGGCTTTGTGATATGCAGTGCTCTCATTTCATTAATTTCTAAGAAAGTTCTGATTTACTTTTTGTTCTGTTTAAACCCAAGAGTGATTTTGCAAAAGTACAAAGTGTTATCCTGTAAATAATTTGCCATTACTAGGAGGAGGGGAGGAATGTCACTTTGCAATGAAGGAATCAGATTATTACCACCTGAACTCACTGCTTAAGTTTAGCATCTGTAAAAGGGGTCAGTGACATATGCTTCATGATGGGATGTAATGTGGAGGACCCAGCACTGCTTAGAACTACTCCTAATGACAGTTTCAGGAGTAGTGAAACTAATCCTAGGAGTAGGCTTGAAACTAATCAAGCCTTTAACAATTAATTAATAATTACTATGGTATCTGGAGAACAAGGTAAATGGCCCTACAAGTTAACAAATCCAGAGTATGGGTCATTCTACGGGACAACTGCCTTGTTTCTTCAACAAGTTAATTACGTGAAAAAAAGAAAGGCTAGAGTGGGCTGGGGCAATTAACTTCAGAACTAAAAGAGACTTGAGACATATCAACAAAATGTGATGTGTGGCCCTGGTTTGAATAAAGTAACTGTAAAAAGACATTTTGGGGATAATTCGAGAAATTTGAATATGGACTGGATATTAAATGATACTAAGGAATTGTTATTATCTTGTTAGGTGTAATAATACCATTGTGGTTATGTAAAAAAGTCACTATTTAGAGATGCGTTCTGACATATTTAGCATAATAGAGTCGTGACATCTGGTAATTTAAAATACTATGGAAATATGGCAAAATGTGAATAATTATTAAGTTTAGATGATGGGTGTAGTCAAGTTTGTTATATTATCTCTCTATTTTTATGTTTGCCCACAATTTTTCATAATAAAAAGTTAAAAAAAGAGATATATTCAAGATATTTACCTTTCTGTCCCCAAAGACAAGAATGTTAGTATGTACTACATCTTTTTCTCCCATGGAATTCCCCCATTAATTTCAGATTATTTTTAACAATAATAACTATGCTTTAATAATTTCCTTGCTCTTTCTTTTTATATGTACAGCAATAACTTTGGCATCCTTGCTCTGTCTTACAATTCATTTTTAAGAAATTCTTGGCTTTACTTTTATTTTGCCATTTGTTCAAAGTACAAGCTCACATAATTCCTTGAAAGATTCATATTCATTTGAATCTTAGTACATCTGAAAATGTCTATCTTTTGCTCTGACATGTTAATGATAATTTTTATAGTGAAAGAATTTGATATTAACAATTATTTTCCTTCAGCACTTTGGGGTTTTTTTCGGTGACAATTTTTGCCAATGAGAAGTCTGATTCTCCTTACTTTGTGGGATTTTTTCTCTCTCTCTCTGGAAGATTTTTACAATTTTCTCTTTGTTCTGAGATTTCATCAAGATATGACTAGGGTTAGGTTTATTAGTACTCTTTAAATTTATCTTGACTGGCACTATATGGCCTATTTCAAACTAAAAACTTGTTTCTATGTTATAGTTTGAATGTATGGTGTCCCTCCCAATTTCAGGTGTTGAAACTTAATGTTCAACACTTAATGTAATGTAATATACATCAAGTTCCAACACCTGAAAATGGGAGGGTTGCCATACAATGTAATAGTATTAACAGCTGAGGCCTTTTAGAAGCGATTAGGCCATGAGGCTTCCTCCCTCGTGGATGAGGTTAGGGTTCTTATAAAAAGAGGCTTCATGGAGCGTTTGGTCTTTTTGCTTTCTGCCACATAAAGACACGGTGTTCCTTCCCTTGAGGATTCAGCAACAAGGCACCATCTTGGAAACAGAGCAGTCCTCACCAGACAACTGAACCTGCTGGCACCTTGATTTTGGACTCCCAGCTTCTAGAACTGTGAGAAATACTTTTCTCTGTTTTATTAAGCACCCAGTCACATGTATTCTGTTATAGCAGCACAAACGAACTAAGACAATCTGCCTTCAGCTTTAGGACATTTGCTTCTGTTAATTATCTGACCACTTCACCTTTTCCATTTTTTCTGTTCCTTCCTTGGAACTCCTATTAAGAGGATTTTGGAGCTTCTGGATTCATTCTCCGTGAATATTAAAATTTTCTCTTACTTTTCTCTCTACTTTCTCCTCCTGCATCCTTGGAGAATTTTACAGTTTAACTGTTCAACCTACTAACTTGTTTTTAAGGTGTGTCTAATCTATTTAGCTAATCTCTTGGGTTTTATTTTGATCATTTTTAATTTTCATGTTCTATAATTGGATCTGATTCTTAAAATGTGTTCTTGTTTTATAGATATGTCATCCTTTCTTATTCCTCCTTTTACCCATGGCTTTCATGAATACATCCAGGTTCTATTGTGGGTGTTGCCATTATATTTAAAAAACAAAATGAACTGGAGTTCCCTCATTGGGATCAGCACCACCCAGGTCTTACTTTTCAGGGATCTGATTTCAGCATAATGAAATGTGGTTTTTTTTTTTCAGCTTTCTTCTTTGCAAGGTTCTGCTGGAATCTTGGCTCCCGGGTCTGCCTTCTAGGCTTGACTTAATTTTGCCAAATGTACAGAAATTAGTTTTCAAGGTTGTCACACTTAAATCCCTCAAATGATGAATTAATTCCACAAGTGGTGACTGGTTAGTTATCCCTAGGTATGGACCTCATTGGGCCCAGGCCCTGAACCAGAGAAACCTTCACCAGACAATGGGCTGCTGTGGTGGAGCTGCACCTGCTCACCCGCACACTTAAACCCCATGGCTGCTGAAGAGCAAAAAATGCCAAGATGAGAAAACACCTGACTGCACCATCCCTACAAAGACAGAAAGAAACTTTTGGCCGCCAAGAGGGGGAATAAAAAGGGGACATATTTTGTATAGAAATACATATAAGAAGTCTGTGTGACTTTAGTGAGTCTGGATTTATCCAATCCTGAAATACTAAAAAACATCGCTTGAAGTTGAAAAAAACTTTTGGCCTTATAGGACAATTCAACAGAGAAATTACTTTGTATAACAGCATTAAACATCATCCCAAAGGAAGAGTTGTTCTCTGTTCCAAAGAACATGAAGTAAATTGATAGATGGATATTCCATTAAGATTAATAGGGAAATGTAAGCACATCTTCCTTTTAAAGAGAAAGAGAATGCTTTTGAGGAAAAGAGCTTTACCCTCAGCCTCCCCTCCATTGATCACATGGTTTTACTTGGCTTGATAGGAAAGCCACAAAATGTAACTTTTTATAGATGCTGACACACAGGATACCAAAATGACAAGCCAGGATGAGGACAGAGGCACTAGTTTGGCGAGGTGCAAAAGTTAATTTTCCTGGCAGAGTCATTTCTAGTGTTAGAAGTGTGTGTGGTGTTACCTGGGTTTCCATGAGAAGTAAAACTGTTATGGGTCAATGGGCTAGAGAGTAAATCCAAATTCAATTTATTTTCCTTTCCAGCTTTTCATCTGTCACCAGGCTCCTGTGAGTTGGGGGAATCAGATCTGGAAAAGTGTTCTCTAGGAAGAAAGTGTTTATTGAAAGCTATGATCCCACCACATACAATTGGGTCTCAAACTCTGTTGAGTCTGCTTCCTAGATATTTTTCATATCTTTCCAATGCATGTTCTCTTTACCATTACTGCCACTACCCTACATCAATCATAATCATGTTTAGTCCAACACAATACCCTCTTACACTTTCTACACACAGATGTAGCCCAGAGGGATCCTTTAAAAATACAAATCTAACTATGCCATTCTCCTGTTTACTGAGGGCTTCCTGTCCACTGAGGGCTTCTTACCATTTTAGGATAAATTCAAAGTCCATAACAAGTCCTCCAAGATCTCTGATCTTCAGTATCATTAAATATCTTTTTCCCCTTTACTCACCAGCCAGCCTTCAGTTCTTCACATGTATAAAGCTCTTTCCTGCCTCAGGGCTTTTGTATGTGCTGTTCCCTTGGCCTGATATGACTTTCCTTAGGGTTTCTGTCTCATTACCTCCTTATTCTGAATAGCCCAATATGTATGTCACTTCTTTAGAGAAGCCTTAACTGATAACTCTATCTTCCCTGTCTAAATCAGGAGTCCCTTAAAAACATTTATATATTAAATATTTTGTGTTGGTTCTCCTCTTATCCCACTCTAAGCTTTGTAAGGGTAAGAAATAGGTCTGTTTATTTTGTTATGTATCTCCAGTTCTTCACATGATCTTAGCACATAATAGATGCTCATTAAGTACTTATTGAATAAGTGAATGCATCTATCAATTCTGGAACAATCTGGATCAAGAATGAGGATGTGAGCAAGGGATTTGGTATTTATTTAAAAATCCCTATAGTAGTATAGGGGATGATAGTAAATGACATGCTAGTTCTAGTACATGTCTTGAATTCAACAGAGCATGTTGTGGGAAGCCAGGGACCCCACACAGAGGGACCAGCTGGAACCACAGCAGAGGAACATAAGTTGTTAAGATTTCATGGACATTTATCAGTTCCAAAATAATACTTTTATAATTGCTTACGCCTGTAATCTCTTAATCCTGTTATCTTCATAAGCTGAGGATGTATGTCACCTCAGGACCACTGTCATAATTGTGTTAACTGTACAAATTGATTGTAAAACATGTGTTTAAACAATATGAAATCAGTGCACCTTGAAAAAGAACAGAACAACCATGATTTTTAGGGAACAAGGGAAGACAACCACAAGGTCTGACTACCTGTGGGGTCAGGCAAAAAGAGCCATATTTTTCTTCTTGCAGGGAGCCTATAAATGGACGCGCAAGAAGGAGACATATTGCAAAATTCTCTTCCAAGCAAGGAATATTAATATTAATACCCAGGGAAAGGAATGCATTCCTGGGGGGAGGTCAATAAATGGCCACTCTGGGAGTGTCTGTCTTGTGTGATTGAGATAAGGACTGAGATAAGCCCTGGTCTCCTGCAGTACCCTCAGGCTTACTAGGATGGGGAAAAACTCTGCCCTGGTAAATTTGTGGTCAGACCGGTTCTCTGCTCTCGAACCCTGTTTTCTGTTATTTAAGGTGTTTATCAAGACAATATGTGCACCGCTGAACATAGACCCTTATCAGTGGTTCTGTTTTTGCCCTTTGCCCTGTGATCTTTGTTGGACTCTTATCAGTATAGTTCTGCTTTTGCCCTTTGTCCTGTTCCCTCAGAAGCATGTGATCTTTGTTAGATCCTTAGTAGTAGTTCTGCTTTTTGCCCTTTGAAGCATGTGATCTTTATACCTACTCCCTGTTCTCACACCCCCTCCCCTTTTGAAACCCTTCATAAAAACTTGCTGGTTTTGAGGCTCAGGCAGGCATCACAGTCCTACTGATATGTGATGTCACCCCCAGCAGCCCAGCTGTAAAATTCCTCTTTTTATACTGTCTATCTTTATTTCTCAGCCTGCTGACACTTATGGAAAATAGAAAGAACCTATGTTGAAATTTTGGGGGTGGGTTCCTCCGATAAGAGCAGGAATAGTATAATGACCATAATGTAATCTACTCCTTAAAACAGACTTCGGCAATCTGGTATTTGATGTATTTACCTCTAAGACACTGAACACATTTGAGAGGTTCTGGCAGTTGCCTGTAATAGGGAGTCTAATCAGATTTTTGAAACAAAAATGCCACTTGTGGTTCTTTCACTCTTTATATCATCCCAGTGATTCCTACTCTCTTGCATCTTGAGGGTAGAATTTTGCCTGCTTGCATTCTCTGATTCAGTACAGAATACATATTCTCTCCTGAAGGGCTATATTTTCAGCTACATATAGCCCATCTGTCTATCACAGCCTGATAGGGAGATATTTAGAACTTACCAAAAGGGGCACCCACATGTTTAGCTGGTAAGTGCAGTTTCCTCACCATTGTTAGTCCTGCATCTAAATGTATTCATCTTTCAGCTATCTTCAGGCTCCGCTAAAATCCTCTTTATTTCCAAATGAGTCATAGTCTCCCTTTAGCCAAAGTAGGAATAAGTCTGGCATCTATTTGTGTATTACAGAAATTTTAACTAAGTGATTTTTCTGTGTCAGGTGATGTTCTTGGCACAGAATAAAAAAAAAAGACATCATAGATAAACACAGGGGCTAACAGCTTCATGAGGTTGCTTATGTCAACACACCTGGCTAGCCTTCCTTTGTTTCTCTCTCCTCCCCCACTTTCCTCTTCCAAGAAGAGTCAGACTTTCTCATGCACCTGTGGGCTTTCCTTAAAAAGAGAAAAGTTTACTGCAGAATTCATTCTCTGAGGCTACAGTCGCCACTTGTCCTATTTGGACAGACGGCTTTTTCCTTGGCAGGCAACCCACATGGAGGAGTCTCTAGCCTGAAGAATTTCGAATGACAGACTTGACAGATCAGTGTGAGGCCTGTGAAGTGTCTTGGGGCTAAATAGGAGGCAACACTAAAGTTGCCATGCCATAGTGGTAGGGAATCAGACTCAGGGATTCCAGGGGTAGGAGTCCAGAGATGCCCCTTAGCTCCAAGTGGACCAGAGTGCTGTCTCAGCATGGCTCAGTCATACACCATCTCCCAAGTCCAAGGCCAGGAAAATGGAGTCTGTGGCCAAAGCTCCTGGAATACTACAGATAGGTCCCTTTAAAATCAGAACTAGAAAGAAGAATAGAAGGATAACATGACTCACTCTACCAACTTATGTTCTTAGAAATGCTATCTGGTAGCCAGATACATTGTGACAAGAAATGGGTAATGTAAAAGCAATTTAGACTGCCAGCATTTTTCAGCATGTCTTATGATGAACAATAAAATAAAATGAATCCCTCATTGTTTCTTTTTAAAAAATCCTAAAATATGTTTAGAAAAAGAAAAATCATTCTGAAATTGCGTGACATTACAGGTAGGTAGCTTATACAGGATTGGAGAGCCCAGAGCTTACAAATTATTCCTTCTCACTGTTTCCTTTTCTTCCAGCAGCATCCCTTAAACCAGATAAGTAGGTTTATTACACTGAAAACCCATGAAAAGATGTGGACTCGGTTCAAAGGCATATCTTGATGTAGTGGAAAGAATGAAATTTGGAGTTGGGCAGACCTGGGTTTTGATATTACTGCTGACATATATCGTACTCCTTTGGCTTTGTCACAGCTTCACTGGGCTCAGTGTTTTGAAAACAGACAGATTATGTTTGTGAAATTTCTTTGGTTCCCTCTCCTAACTGTAGTCAGATATCACCCAGAAGATGTGTATGACATTGTATGTGCATAGGTAAGCTTAGGCCAGAATGAGATGGGGGATTATGAAAAATTTTAGCAGAGGTAACTTTTGTTCTTAAAAACTACTATCTAACTTTTTATTGACAACTCAGAAGTATCTATGGGTAGGCTGAAGGTAGAGGGAGCGTGCTAGGGATCCAGAATGTTTCTGAGTATCTTAATAATTTAAAGAATTTTATTTGCCTAAACACTCACATATTCTCACACACACCTGTGAAGCTATCCCTCAGTCATGCCCCTATTAGAATTTATTTCAGCAGACGTGGAACTGAACAGTGTAAACACTTGAGTTCACTTCATCATGACTCTTCAAATACCTTTGTCCTGTGGATAAAGCTTAAGACAAAAGACATGAGCCAGAATACATTTTGTGATAACTTTTTCTTCTCTTTAGAAAAAAAAAATATGTACAAAAAAAGCTGAGAAGAGCCAACATGGAAGTGTCAAGAAAACATTCTGATAGGTACGGACAAAAGAGCTCCTTCAATCAAAGGAGTTACATATTAGTTCTCACCATGCTAGAAAAATGAGATGCAGTTAAAATTCTAGAATAATTAAAAGCCACAAAGTGAAACTGTTGTTCTGGGGCCCTATGTTGTAGATTCTCTGATTCCTTTTCTGTAAAATAATACTGTGCAAACTGTAAAATATTCATTTTCATATAAAGTCCATATAATATGAGATACAAAACTGTTGAGTTGACAGGGGAGGCTGATGTTGGCTGCTTTTTGGAGAAAAGCTGACAGTGGCACCTGCCTGCCAGAAGACATTCCAGAAAGATCTTGAGTTATTTAGTAGAGGCCATTATCTAAGAAAGAATCATATAACCCCAATACCCTCCAAATCCAGAATTCTCTGACAATTGTTTGTATAACTAGGTGACTTTGTTAATATATCACTTTAAACTTTGAACGTAACAATTTGTTAAGAGATCAGAGTGCAACATTCTTTTTGAAGACAATTTTTTTTCTACAATTGACTTTGAGATTTATTATTAACCAACATTGTCCTTCCTGCAGCTCAAAAGTTTGCCTTTTATTAAAATTCAAAAATTCTGGAGGAGGCAGCAACTGTGGTAATAAAAGTTTAAAGTGAATTGTTATATTCTGTGTTTATAAAACTGAGAAAAGAAAATTTGTGTACAAATATCACAAAACAACGTCAACCATTGAATAAATGTGGTTCTTCAATGCACGCTTGAACAAGAAAATTTTGTTGGTTTTAAAATTCTGGCATAAATATATTAAAGCTGACCAAAAAAAAAAAAAAAAAATCAGGGCAAGCTACATCACTTCCTCATACAAAAAATGTACAAAACATTAGCTTCTAACTAGATAAACGTAATATTTGTCATCACAGTTTGACATTGAGCAACTGTGTGTTTTGAAGTATAGAATTGGAAGATGATTTTAAAAAACAGCTTGTGACACATCAGTCGTCTCAGGTAACTTCGGTCATGGACGCAGAGTGATTCTGTGGAGCAAACACAAGCAGATAAAATCTGAGATAGGGTTGCCTGACACGTGCACACTCACTTGTCCCTAAATATTCCCTTGTTTTGTCTCCTCAAGGGTACACAGGCTGTTCCGTCCCCCTAATATGCTTTTCCAAGGCCCCTGAATTTCCCTTACCTCTTTGGTTTTTTTATTTTATTTTTTGAGACGGAGTTTCACAATTGTTGCCCAGGCTGGAGTGCAATGGTGCAATCTCAGCTTACTGCAACCTCTCCCTCCTGGGTTCAAGCAATTCTCCTGCCTCAGCCTCCCAAGTAGCTGGGATTACAGGCATGCACCACCATGCCCGGCTAATTTTGTAGTTTTAGTAGAGACAGAGTTTCTCCATGTTGGTCAGGCTGGTATCGAACTCCCGACCTCAGGTGATCCACCCGCCCCAGCCTCCCAAAGTGCTGGGATTATAGGCATGAGCCACCATGCCTGGCCTCCTTACCTCTTTTTATTAAAACTTCCCTGATTTTTCATCCAAAATAGGATAACTTCTTCACCCAAACTTTTTTTTTTTTTTTTTTTTGAGACAGGGTTTACTCTGTCACCCAGGCTGGAGTACAGCCTTGATCTGCTGGGCTCAAGTGATCCTCCTATCTCAGCTTCCCGAGTAGGTAGGACACTGGGCACATGCCACCATGCCTGGTTAACTTTTAAATTTTTTGTAGAGACAGTGTCTCACTATGTTGCCCAGGCTGGTCTCGAACTCCTGGGCTCAACTGACCCTCCCACCTTGGCCTTCCGAAGTGCTGGGATTACAGGCACAAGCTACTGTGCCTAGCATCTTCACCTAAACTTATTCTCTATATAATTCTGTCTTATGCTTAAGTATTTTCTAATATAAACATTTAAGAGCCTCAAAGTAATTTAGCATCCCGCACATTTTTAATGTAATGTTTTAAATATGAAACAGCTCTAGTGTTTAAAACCTTTCTACATGTTTTATCATTAGAGTCACAAATTACATAGAAGTGAGTTTATTATTTCAAAATGTATAGAATTTTTGGGGGGTTTGTTTTTAGTTTAACTTTTTTGGCTAGAGAAAATGTGGCTTACATAATACAGATCCATTAAAATGTTTTTCTTGAGACTTGTATCATGGTCTTGTATACGATGCATTTTCATAATGTTTCATGTGTTTTGAGGAGGGTTATATATAATGCACATCAGATCAACCTTATTGATCATGTGTATCCTTACTATTTTTGTTTGCTTATTAATAAGAGAAAAGTATTACAATCTCCTGTGACTGAGGATTCATCCATTTTCCTTGTAATTATGTCAAATATTTTTGTCACTGGCTGGCTTTTAATTAGTTTTAACTATTAAGCTTTTATACATGTAATCAACTAGGTGAGGGTGGATATTTAGGTTCTTCTTTTGAGTAAAATGGGCTCTTCACTGTTTACAAGGTTATTTCTGAGTTGCAAAAATTCTCTCTCCATGTTTTCCCTGCCATTACTCCTCTATTCAATCTTGGCTGCCACAATCAGACAGAAAGCTCAAGGACACTTTTTTTCTTGCATTGGTAATATAATAGAAACTTTAGCAGCAGATAGTAACTGCTCCAGGTTCATCAAATGGAAGCATTCAATTAAAACAACAACAACAAAATATATATATATATAACCTCCCACTTCTTGCAAACCTAAAGTCTTGTCTTTTATTTGAACTTAAAACTCAATGCTTTGGGTCTATGAAATTATTAAATCTTTAACAAACTGTGGCTTTGATCTAATTATTATTATTGCTTTCCTGATTTCTGTCTTTTTTTTTTTTTTTTTTTTTTTTTTTTTTGAGATGAAGTCTTGCTGTTGTCCCCCAGGCTGGAGTGCAAAGGTACAATCTCGGCTCACTGCAACCCATGCCTCTTGGGTTCAAGCGATTGTGTTGCCTCAGCCTCCTGAGTAGCTGGGATTACAGGCGCCTGCCACCACGCCTGGCTAATTTTTGTATTTTTAGTAGAGACGGGGTTTCACCATGTTGGCCAGGCTGGTCTTGAACTCCTGACCTCAGGTGATATAAAATATATATTAAATATGTATAAGTATCTTTTAACTATATATGTATACATATATAAGTATATATACATACATAGATGAAGAAAGTAAGGCACCAGGTTTAAGTAATATGCCCAAGGTCACCAATCAAAATTAAATGATATGTATGTATGTAACATATATATATACTTATATATGTATATAAATATATATTAGTGTATATATGTATCTATATTTAATATATATTTTATATAATTATATATATTTTTCCCCCATGGGGAAGACATCTGGAGACTCTATACCACATCCAGAGTGAGTTAACACAGTTGTTTCATTTCTAATTTAATTTTTGTTATTAGAAACTGTGTGGACAAGAACTCAACTGAACAACACTCAGCTGATTGCTCATGTACATTGTGAGTGGGGCGGGGTGTAGAACATGGATAATTAAGAATTGGTTCCTTTGGGATCCCAACAACTTTATACAATCATAAAATAATGCTTTGAAAAACTTGACTATTTTTGTTTTATAATTGTTTACTTTTTGGTTTCTCTATGGTATTTGGGAAAGATTTTAGAAAATGCACCCCATCTCAATCAACTATACTAAGGGGAATCACAGAAGGTAGATATTCAAATTTGAGGTAATGTTTTAGAGAGGCCCAGAGCACTGTGGCTCTGAGGGCTGCATGTGGCAAAGGGGAAAGAATGTCTTGGGAGAAAGGGAAACGAGCGTGACTGATGCCCTCCCCATCCAGTCTTCTCCTTAAGATATTTTGAATAGTGGGATGGATTTCATGTGTACGAATGTGTGCTCTGAAGAGAGGTTCTAATCTCTGATCTGAAAAGGTCCACATGCTGGGAAGATGGTTCTGTTCCAAAAATTACAAAGATGCCGTTTCTAACAGAAACCATGGCTGTTGGAGTTGCAAGGGAAGTTCTTGCTCACAGGGGGGTATTTACTTTGGAAAAACTGTAGCTCAGGTTCAGTATACCAGCCCCCTGTAGCATGTTTTCATATTCAATGCTGGGAGTTGTGGATTTCAAAAAAGAATTTTCATTGAATGAAATCTCAGACTGTGTGGTGTAGGAGAACCAGCAGGGCCTCAGTATTGGATGGGTCTTCATTTAATTTTGACTGGGTGACCTTGGGCATATTACTTAAACCTGGTGCCTTACTTTCTTCATCTATAAAATAGGATATAATAAAACCAATACAGTATCATGAATATTAAATGAGGTGACTCTCAATAAATGCTAGTTCTCTTTTCTTGACCAACAAATAAAGGGTTTATCTTTCTAACTATCCATGTGGAAACATTTATTACTAAAAACAGATGCTTGGTGACTTGCATTTTTCACGACTGGTATGGATAGCATAATGTGAGAGGCAATACTTCTCTTTAGCTTTCTGTGGCTTCATTCTGGCTAGCCTGCAGAAGTCCTTCTCATAGTTTCTTATAAATCTCTACTTTCCGTGGATGTTCAAATAGTGATTATGGTCAAATTTGAGGTTCTTGGTTTTGGCTAAAGTGTCTACTTTAGGTTTTGGGACAAGTTTGTATTCATCCATCAATATGTATTTCACACCTAGTGGATGCCAGGATACATGGTAAATAAGACATGGTTTATAGGGTCCTCAAAAAGTCCCAAGTCTTTGGAGGAGGCAGACATGAGGGAACACTTGGCTTTACTTATGAGTGACAGTCACATGAGAGGGGTCTGGAGGGTCCTTTGGCCCAAGCCTGGTATTCGGGCAAGGCCTCAAATTGTATCCATATGAGGCGGCATCCATAATCACAAAGATCTGTTGACAGGTTTGAGAGAAGTTCAACTACTACCTGTAAACAATGAATTAATATCTATTTTAAGAATCCTTTATCTTGTGAATAGCATTTTTTGAAACCCTGTTTAGCACTTCATTTTTCAATTTAAGTAGAATCCCTCAAAATAGAGTCTGGACATCTCTAGGCCTGATCAACCATCAGTGGCCCTGAGAATTAAGAGAGAAAGAAGTCTAGGGAAGACATTAGACAGATGTCATGCTTGAGCAGTGCTGGGTGGAAGGATGAGGTGTGCAAAAGGGGTGTTCTTATATCAGGATATTCGGGGGATAGCATTTACAAGGACACAGAGACTGGTATGTCTATGGAACTCAGCAAATATTTTCTGTTTCTTTTTAAAATTCACTTGTTTTCATTTTACCACCCCAAAATAGAGACCCTCTCTGACTTCACTAAACACAGGATTGTAATTAGGGAAGAAAAGTTAGAGAGATTCTATTTCACTATTTCATTACAGGGTATCGCTATTTAGCTAATTTGATATTTAACCTGTAGCAACAGGCTGTATATAAATAAACCAGAAATATTTTTGTTAATATTTTATTTCTAGACCAAGTTAAAATGTTAGCCTTAATACAAATTAAGGGAAAACAAAACAATACTTGGTACTGTATTAATGGAGAACCTTAAATATTTTTCCTAAAATGGAGATACGGAGGTAGATTTCTTGTTCCAACCCCCCCAAGCCCCGCCCTCAAAACCTGGTTCATTAATAATATTAGATTTAATTAAAGGTAAAAAGGCATAGGATATTGAGACCAGCCTGGCCAACATGGCAAAAAACCGTCTCTACTAAAAATACAAGAAAGTAGCCAGGCGTGGTGGCGCGTGCCTGTAGTCCCAGCTACTTGGGAGGCTGAGGCGAGAGAATTGCTTGAACCCCGGAGGCGGAGGCTGCAGTGAGCCGAGATTGTGCCACTGCACTCCAGCCTGGGCGAAAGAGTGAGACTCCATCTCAGCGGGGGAAAAAAGAGCATAGGGTAGTTTGTCTTAGAGAGATGTCATAGTTAATAATCGTTAAATAGTGAAAATATTATTTTATATTGCACTGATATGAAGTACATAATAATTCCAAAGGGAACAAAGGGAAGTGATTTATCTTTTATATCTTCTATAAAAATGCTTGAGTAGGAAAATGCCAAATGCAAACAAGATTTTACGATAAACAGACTATGACAAAACATAAACACTTTAGCCGGGCTCAGCTACCCGAAAAAGATGACATGCTAATGAAAATCATATTATTAGTTGTCCCCCATCTGCTTAAAGAACTCCTACTCATCCAGCTTTCCTACTTGCTACCTATACAACCTCGGGCAGGTAATCTAACATCACTGTCTTCAGTGTTTTTTTTGTTTGTTTGTTTTTGTTTTTTTTTGAGATAGGGTCTCACTCTGTCACCCAGCCTAGAGTGCAGTGGCGCGATCACAGCACGCTGTAGTCTTAATCTCCCAGGCTCAAACACTCCTCCCACCTCAGCCTCTGGAGTAGCTGGGACTACAGGCATGCGCTACCATGCCGGGCTAATTTTTGTATTTTTTTAGTAGAGACAGGGTTTTGCCATGTTGCCCAGTCTGGTCTCAAACTCCTGGGCTCAAGCAATTCACCTGCCTTGGCCTCCCAATGTGCTGGGATTACAGGCGTGAGCCACCACGCTCGGCCTGTCTTCTGCATTCTTATCTTTACCTGTGAAATAGGAATTATAGTATCTATTCAATAGGGTGGTTGTTCAAGTAATGATATATTTGTAAAGCTCCTAGCAATTGTCCTGGGAAAAATTAAGTGCTTCATATCATCTGTCCAGGCTCCTTTCAGTTGGCAAGTCGTCTTCCTGGCTTTCCCTGTCTTCTCACATGGAGTAGATTTTTTTCCCCTTCATTTGTATTCATACAGCACTTTGTGCACCTCTGATTCAGCATGTCATATTATGACTACCTATTTATATCCACCTTTCCTGATCATCTGTGATTTATTTATTTATTTAGTAAAGATGGTGACTTGTTACATTGCCCAGGTTGGTCTTCAACTCTTGGCTTCAAGCAATCCTCCCACCTTGGCCTCCAAAAGTGCTGGGATTACAGGTGTGAGCCACCATGCCTGCTCCTTATCTATGAGTTATTTGAGGGCAAGGACTATATCAATTATTTTTTGTATCCCTGGTATGATGCAAGGTTCTGTTGTAGAGTAACAGATCAGGAGGTACTGTTGCATTGAATTTTTGTCACAAAAACAGGTCCAAAGGGACATTTAGTAGCCTTTTAAAATGTGCCTCCAACTTACATCACTGTGTGTAACACAACCTTTTTCTTTCCAAATATGATCCTAGTTATTAAGTCAAATTGCTTTTTTCCATATGATTAGTGCAAATTTCATGAATGTGATATTATATTGTAGGTCAAAGTATCCTGAAACAGCTAAGGTTTAAGTTAGACATTACTAAGAACTCTCTGAGGATTCATGATTGCCCCAACCCCCGGAATAAATATAGGAATAATTGAGGGGAAAAAGTGAAGGCTGCCTTTTGTGAGGGCCTTTACAATAAATTAATCAGATTCTCATTGATGCTGGGTAGATTAAGTGGTATTCATGGATTGATACTGACCTCCCAAAGTGTTCAGCCTGTGGGTTTGGTTTGCTAAAACTGCTTTACCATACCTGTGCACTTAAGGTTTCCAGAGGGCTTTCTATCCTTGGGAAAGCCATTAGGGGTACTCCACGGGGATCCTCAGGCTTGGGTTTGGAAGGAGATCCTTGCGTTCCTTTAAAGTTATGAACCACACACATTCCCTGCAGGATGAGGGGGAAAAAAGAATGGGGTCAGACTGCAGCCATCAATGCCTGGCATCTGTGAGGGTGGCAGGCCTTTCCCCTTGAATATCATCACCAGAGTGACCTTTTTCCTTTGAGAGAGGGGAAAGGGACTATGGGAAGTGCTGTGGAAACGTCTGTTTAATCACCAGATGACCAGTAATAATCGCTCTCCACCCCATTGGGTCTGTTTTCTCACCTGTAAAATAAGAATAGTAATACCCACTTCACAGATTTGTAATGATTAAAGACATGGTGAATGCAAACCACCTCATAATAATAGTTAAAATTTATTGAGGGCCACTATGTGTCTGGCACGACCCTGAGGATTTTATCCAATTTCACTTAACCCACCCAACAATTTCATAAGGGAGGTACTATTATCTCCAGTCTAGATAGGGGGGCACAGGGAAGTTATCTAACTTGCCCAAGGTCACACAGAGATTGAAACTCCAGAGCCCTTAAATCATATCCCTATACTATTTTGCCCCTTAAAAAGTGCCAAATGCATAGCAAGTATTCAGTCCATGTTAGCTGGTCTTTAACTCTTACCTTAGATAGTCATCTTCAGATTATGACTATTTGCTTGAGATTAGATAACTCTTGAGTTTTCTTTTATCGCTTCCATTTAAAACTTTCCCTGTAAGTTACTGCCCACTTTTCTGTTTCCTGCCAAGGTCTTTTCATAACTGACTGTTTCTACCATCTTCCCTGCTTTTTTTTTTTTGCCCAAGAAGAACCCTCCTTTTCCCTGCCTCTTTCCATACTTTCTTTGTTTCTTCATCCAGCATGTTCGAATCTTTCCTGCTACTCTTCAAACCCTGTAGCACATTGGCATGCATCCTCTCTACCTGGCTCATCTCCATCTCACTCTTACACTCAGCTTTTTTCTTTTTTCTTTTTTTTTGAGACAGAGTCTCACTCTGTCACCCAGGCTGGAGTGCAGTCGTACGATCTCGGCTCACTGCAAGCTCTGCCTCCCGGGTTCATGCCATTCTCCTGCCTCAGCCTCCCGAGTAGCTGGGACTACAGGCACCCACCAGCACGCCTGGCTACTTTTTTGTATTTTTTAGTAGAGACGGGGTTTCACCGTGTTAGCCAGGATGGTCTCGATCTCCTGACATCATGATCTGCTGGCCTCGGCCTCCCAAAGTGCTGGAATTACAGGCGTGAGCCACCGCGCCCGAGGACCCTACACTGTGCTTTAACTGGGAAGAGGGGAACCTGTAGAAACTTTGGAGTGGAGAGACCCAGGTCCCTCTGCTGGTTATTGGTTGCATGGCTATTGGGCAAGTTACTTATCTTTGAGCCTCATTTTCCTCATCTATAAAATGAGGATAGGAATATTGTTAGAGTTGCCCTGGGGGCACTTGATTAGCTGTCTATAAAGCATACAGCATGTGGTACTTGTTCAGCTAATAACTTCCTTCCCCTTCCTCCCACATTCCGCCTCATGGGAACCACAAACATAAAGCACTATTGAACATTTACAGTAGATATCCTGCCATTCTCAGTGTTTGCTCTTCTTTTTCTGTCTCCTCTCCAAGTCTCTGCTTTGGAATGCCTCCAGGCTCCTCCAGGACATCCTTCCCCTCCCATTTCCCAGCTTTGTGTGTGTCTGTGAGGTGTGTTCACATGCATGTGCCAACAGGGTGGTCTCTCTTATGCCAGAGCAATTCAACCACAGATCTGGGTCTTACGTAAAGGCCATTTGTAGGCAAACAAATTTTGACATCAATTGGGAAGTCACTTGAAAGCACTAGCAGACTGAGTAGTTACTGAGTGATGAGAAACAGGGCTGCATGTTATGGAGAGAAAACAAGTTTAACGTTGAAGCAGGATTTGTGTATGGGGCTTCAGCAAACCCCAATATCATCCCACAAAGACCCTACAAAATTGCTTGGAACAGTCAGAATGGCTCTTCCTCTCTAACTGGGGATGGCGGCTTTAGAACTGATGGTCAGCAACATTGTTTGTCTTTTCTTGAGCCAAAGTCTATTTATACACCATTGATCTCCCTTTGAAACCCTTCTCTTCCCTTCAAGTCACCTGTTTTCTTTCCTTCTTAAAAAAATTCCTCAGGAATGGTAGTAGGCGATAGGGGGAAGAGGAGTTGGTTAATCAGTACAAAAATACAGTCAGATGGAAAAAATGAGGCCTGCTCACTATAACAGTAGAGTGACAATAATTAACAATAATTTACTGTATATTTCAAAATAAATGGAATAGATTTGGAATGTTCTTAACACAAAGTAACAGTATTTGAGGTGATGGATATCCCAGTTACCCAGATTTGATCATTATACATTGTATGCTTGTATCAAAATATCACACATACCCCCGAAACATGTGTAACTTCTATGTATCCATAAAATGTTTTTAAAAGGCGTTCCTCAGGAAAGTTCCTAATGAGATATCAAGATTTTATGATGACTTCAGCACTGCTTTTCCTGCAACTTCATCCAGAGTATTTGCATTTTAGTTTTTCATCTTTCACTATAGGAAGAATGCCTGGATCCATTCAAAATACTGGCACATTTTTGTTTTATTTCTCTTCACTTTATTGCATGTTGCAGATATTTTTTTTTTTTTTAAATTGAAGCTTTTTGACAACACTGTCCAGCAAGTCTATTGGCACCATTTTTTCAACAGCACATGCTCACTTTGTGTCTGCGTCAACACTTTTTTAAAGCCATAAAGTGCTTTTAAATTAAGGTAACTGCATTGGTTTTTTTTTTTTTAGACATAATGCTATTGCACACTTAATAGACTACAGAATAATGTAAACATAACTTTTTATATGCACTGGGAAACCAAAAAATTGTGTGCCTAGCTTTACTGTGATATTCACTGTTGCAATGGTCTGGAACCAAAGCTGCATTATCTCTGAGATATGCCTGTCATTTTGAATTAGAAAGAAGCTTCCCAATCAATGTTCTGAATGTGAGCATTGTCTGTATCTTAGATTTTTTACAAGTTGGAAAACCAAGTTAGAGGCTGGGAGAGGCATGTGTGTATTTTGCATATTGGGGAGGGAAGGAAGAGGGGCTAGGAAAAGGAAGTGTGTTAAGTCCTATGACTGAAATCCAGCTATGTGTGATGCCAATCCAAATGGATCTTGGACCAGAGAGGGCAGAATAGGAGGAGGGAGGTCCTACAAGACTGTGATGGCTTCTTTCTCCTTGGGGAGGCTTCCTGAACATTGTTAGGGGATTCATTTCATGCACAGTATAAGTCTCCAGGCCTGATGATTCATCATAAATTTTTCTGGGCCTGTTTTAAGTCCTTGAAGATAATAGAAATCTGCATCTCTGAGGTGTGACCATGCAATGGAATACTACACAGCAATAAAAAGGAATTATGGATACATTCTACAACATAGATGAATCTCAAAATAATTATGCTAGGTGAAAGATACCTGAAAAAATACATTATGATTCAATTAATATGAAATCGTAGAAAAGGCAAACTAATATAGAATGACAGAAGATCACCAGTTGCCTGGGGATAAGGGAAAAGGAAGGGTGAGAAAGTTGTATGCCAAAATTGATCAAATTGTATACTTGATGTGTCATTTATTGTATACCTATTATACTTCAATACAACCGTGAAAGAGAAGGCAAAAAGAATAAAAATTAACCTCTTTTTATCAACTCCAACTCAATTTAAGGGATTTCCTAGGTGAGCAGGTGGCCAGACCTCCATCTATTTGGGGAACTAAAACATAATCAGAAATACAAGAAAAATGTATTAACCAAAACTCTTCTCCAGGAAGATAGGTGGTTGAGAAGCCAGTTTAGCGGAAGTAAGATTCCCAAGAGGCATGTTCCAATAGTAACAGAGGCCCACTAAAAAGGGCGGGTGTGATCATCTGCAGGGTTTTTAAAATTTCCGAGTAGGAGATGCAACTTTGGAATTAGAGTTGAGTTTCTTGGGATGCTGGAGAAGAGGCTGCTTGCTTCTACCAGTGCTCTTCATTCTCTATTCTTCCCTCAAGGAACACTTAGCTTTTGCCCCCAATATGCTGAGAACAAATACTTAGAGAAGATTGGTTTGAAGGTGTGCCAATTTATCATTAGTCTGCTTGGCCCCAGTCCCAAGCCCAGTGTTGAAAGGGGTAGAGCCAGCTGTACTTCTAGGGGCAATTCTCTCCCTGCCACCCAGAAGGAATTTGGCAATCCAGTTTCTGAAAGGAAAGAGTGTTTTGAAATCATTTTTGTAGCAAAAGCATGTATAATACTTGGAGAATAATTGTAATTCACAAGGTTGGGACGAAAGGAACACAGATGGTGAAGTCTGGGAAACCTGACTCACAGTTTTTCAGAGAGTAGAAGAGGGGGAAAAGGTAAAAAGAGGGAAGTCAACCTACCAGAAACAGGGCCACTGCAGTGCCCAGGATGAAACCAGCAATCACGTCCGAGCAGTGGTTCCGATACTCAGAGACCCGGTTGAGGCCTGTCAGGAAGGCTGTGCAGAGAGTTCCGAGGCACAGCACCGGCTTGGCCAGTCGACTGCTCTTCGTCTTGATTGTGCTTGTAATATACATCTGGAATAGGACAGAGGCCAGGGAGTGACCAGGCAGCTGCCTTGTGCTATGAGTACACATGCAAGCAAGCAGGTACATACACCAGCATACACAAGCAGGGGCTTGTGTCAAAGCAACCACACTAACTAGTATTCCTTGAACAACTCCATTAAGATATTTAATAAATTATTTAGGTAGGAAATCAGTGCAGCAAGAACAATGAACAGATGTACATTCTTCAGTCTTTTGTAATCTAGTGGACATGTCAACAGAAGTTATTAGTGACACAAAGAACGCATTAACGATTAGATTCAGAACATGCAGTTTTTATGTGACAAGTTTAAATATCATTTGGGGTATAAGAAATCCATATGAGAGTCTGAGATACCAAATAAACCTTCTATGGGAATGAAGCTTTTGGTGGAGAAGACCAGGTAGGAGAGTGACTGTAAGTGACCGTACATTTTATTTTTTGTGTCCCCAAAAGTTCCTAGTTGCTTTGTCACACCTTCAGGTGATTAATACCAACAAAGTGTTGACTGATGAGTTAGTTGA
The DNA here is from genome assembly GCF_000001405.40 of Homo sapiens. Taxonomy (NCBI): domain Eukaryota; kingdom Metazoa; phylum Chordata; class Mammalia; order Primates; family Hominidae; genus Homo; species Homo sapiens. The sequence goes on along the minus strand of NC_000009.12, from coordinate 101,312,263 downwards.
TAGGCTGAATTAGAACCTCCCAACAACTGCATCACATAAATAGGTTTCAGCTGTGCTAGTAAATTGACTCATACATTCCTCAGGACAGCTGTGATCAGCTTTATTCATTCATTTACTCCACTGTTTCTTAAAATATTAAAATTTTCTGTGTGTTCCACAAGATACAAAAGGTCAAGAAGACCTGAGCTAAGTAAAAGATGATACACGTTATGACACCTGAGATGTAGGCGGCTGTTATTAGTTTGTTGTGAGGTGCTGGGTAAGACTCTGACGTTTTACAGGTTCAGTTAGCAAATGTGTCCCTGGTGGTTTAGAGTTAGGAAGCCATGCCTTTTTCATGTAAGTACACTTTTTTAGCTAACCTTTGGTAGTAGTTACAAAACACCACTAGAGGGCACCATTGGTCTATCATTTCTTAACAAATGTGCTATGTGAGCTTAGCAATTCTAAAAAATAATATGCTGATACTTATATAGTATGTGTATATGGCCTGAGCACATATAAGTTAAAATAGACGCATTTTACAGTATTACAATAGAAATTCTTAATATTCTAGAATGATACCTCAACACTGGTGAGAATACCAGAAGATAGGAATCTCTTCTATATAACAGATTCCCTATAAAACTGGTTACATCACAGTTACATAAATTACAGCATATTATTACACTATTTTCAGACTCTGGTAAATGTTACTTAAAACCTATGCTGCATATATTCAGTTGTTCATGCTATTATGTTTTCCAATTATATCTGTCATAAATCTTTCCTATAAGAAAGATTAAAAACTATTAAAAGCATGAGCCTATGGTTAGTTGGTATTCTTCATAGTATTAACCAGTACTTAGGAAATCCTTGTTGAGTAATTTCTGAAAGCATTTGACATGTAATAGCGGCTCAGAAGATTTATGCAATTGGAATCTTATATCAGGGTTTATCTGACTATAGTCTGTGAGGCATGATTTGAATTGGATAACATCTGAATCCTTGAGAACATGTTATAGTCACATTTATTCTGTGTGAGCTGATGATATTTACTTCTTTCTTGCCCAAAGAACTTCGTATCTCATTTGTTGAGACAGTAGTTTATTATAAGTAACAGAATAATTTTTATAATGGTACTATAAAAATTAATTTCACACAGCAATGACTTGAGTCTGATAAAAAATACAGGAAAAGGCACAAGAATACATTGTTTAGGTTCTAGATAATTAGGAAAAATCAACATTCTGAAAATTTGAAAATATGTTGGATACTTCAGAGGGCTTTATTTGTTTAAAAAAAATACCTGCATAGAGGTTTTTTGGTTTGGTTTTGTTTTTGATAAAGCAAAGACATTTAACTGAGCTATAATCTGTTTTGTAAATTGAGGCTTCTGTGTTATTTGCATCCTTGTTTCTTTAATGTGGGGACAGCTGAAGTCCTTTTTTTCACATACTCATGTCACATAGTTGGTGGTTGACAAAATAACCCTATCGATGTGATCCTGTAAATGGGACACAAAGGCACTATCTGCTCCTGGTTGTTTTAAATAAATAGATCAGACCCATAGTCACAAAGAATGACTGTGTATTAATTATTAGATTCAGAACATGCAGTTTTTATGTGACAAATTAAAGAATCATTTGGGGTATAAGAAACCCATATGAGTTTTTGCCTTTTTTCCACCCTAGGGGTGAAGGCACAGACCCGTTTTCTTCCCGCAGAGGCAGAACATGCCTCCTGCAATTACACTCAGTGACAGGAAGGGTAGCATCTCCCTGGGGGGTGGGTTGAGGGCATACTCAGATGTTTGGGAAGAATGGACAGTTTGAAAGGAGGCTTCCTTCTGTCTTTTCCATTCCCACACTTTCCATTGAGAATTACCAGACTAGTCATATTCTGAATATAAAATAAGTTGAAGTAAGGAAAGGGGGTGTTTTGGGCCAACAGTTGCTCTGCCACTGGTAAATGCACCTGATGTCCACCAGCAATATCGTATCAGCCCGTGGAGCCTTTGAGCTGATCTCTGCATGTCTATATTCTGGGTCCTAAGAATGCATAAGCCAGACAAGAGTGAAATGAAGTTATTTCCAAAATGAATACAGTTAAAAAGTTGGAAAATAAGAGAGACACCATTGTTCTTTAAGATGTGGGACATACTTTGGTTTTTCTGTTACTAGAACAAAAAGAAAACCAGAGAAAATTATACCCCAGTGGGGCAGTCAATGGCTGTGCGATCTGGGGGACAATGAGAAACATACTCTGGGGTGTTGAGGTTTTTCTAGGATCATCCCTGTCTCCTAGCAAAGTCATGGAGAAAAGTGCCAGAGCAAAGGAAAGCTGTGTATCCTGGGTCTGCATGTTGTTGGAGCAGTCATTCATATAAGGCCCATGCTTGCAAATTTCTAGGCAGGTGTGAGAAGGTGTGCTGTTCCGAAACCAACGAAAACCTTGACAAAGAGTACTGTTGTGGGAGGTAAGAAAATCTCAGACACAGTACCAGGAGTCTGGGTCCCTGCTCTGGTTGTATGATCTTAGCTATACTGTGGGACCCTGCTTTCACATCTGTAAATGGGAGGATGTAATTAGGTGATTATCAAAACATTCCAGAACTAATATCCTCTGGCAGATCAGGAGATTGAAAGTGGGGTAGAAGTGTGTGTGTGGGGGGGCTAGTATATCAATAGCATAATGTAGAGAAATATGCCATACATAAATTTAAGAGTCGCTATAAGTGACAATGAAAGAATGGAGACAGGGCAGGGAGACACACATCCTATCAAAAACTGGACTTAGGAGAGACAAGACTTGCACACTCACCGTGGCATATAAGGCGGAGTAAATGCTCAGAGCAGCGTGTTTGGAGGGAAAGGATCTCCGAGCCTTTTCTATCACTTCCAGGTCCCCAGTACAAATGTTCCCATTGTTTATAAACTGGTGGTGCGCTTGGCAGTCTGCACTGGTGTAGTTTGGCTTGCACACAGTCAGGAAGTATGGCGTTAAGTGCCCAGTGACCACTTGTCCGGCGTTTACAAAAATGTCAGTAGCAAAAAGTCCAAATGCAAACACCCCTATAAGAAGATTTAAAATCATTAGGAATGGTAACATACTCTGTCAATTGCATTTTTCTCCTAAGAGAAAACAGCGGTGAGAGTCCATGATGACCTATCAAAATGATTCTAAGTACTCCCCGGAGTATCTTTCCAGGAGTGGTACCTGCTTCCCAAATCACCATTTCTTCCAAATTGATGTAGACATTCTACTGTTAGGACTTTATGGTTTTGTATCGGTAGTTTAGAAAAAGCACAGTCTAACGAAAATAATTTGAATTTTGGAGTCATATAGACACATCAGTGGTGACTCATTCAGAGTATAAGTTATTTATCTTTCTTGAATCTTGGTTACCTTTGCTGCAAAATGGAGTAGGGGGTAGTTTGGGGAAAAGAGAATAATCTACGTGCAAAATACTTGCTATGGTGTCTACGTAATTAATCAACATCAGTTCTCTCTCCTTCTATACGAAATACCTTCTCCCTGATTCTACTTGGAAATGTAAATCATCTTGGGAGGAGTTATTTACAACATGGCAGGTGAGAGTAAAGGAGGATCTTATGGAATTGTCTTTTAAAAAAATTATTCTAGAAACTTTGCTTGAATTGGAGTTTCATTTGATGTTGGAAACAGAAAATGAGAATAAAGGAAAAGTGTTAAAAACAAATGTTGTTGACCAATAGCCTCCTATTGCTGCTATAACAAATTACCACAAACCGAGGGGCTTACAACACAAATGTATCCCCTTCAGACTTCTGTATTCTGGAATTCAGAAGCCTACAATAGGTTCCACTAAGCTAAACTCAAAGCATTGGCAGGGCTGTGTTCCTTCTAAGTGCTCAGGGTATAATCCACATCTTTCCTTTTCCATGTGTTCTAGAAGTTGCCTTCATTCCTTATCTTATGGCCTCTTTCCAGCACTTCACATCATTCCAACTTCTGCCTTCACTGTTGTATCTCCTCTGACTCTGAGCCTCCTGCCTGTCTCTTATAAGGACCCTTGTGATTATATCTGGATAATCCAGGATAGTCTCCCTATCACAACTTCAACCACACCTGCATTCCCTTTTGCCATGTAAGGTAACATTCAGTTTCCAGGGACATGATCATCCTTTGGTGGGGAAGGGTGCATTATTCTGGTTTTGCTGTTGGTCTGAAAACCCTGTGAGTAGGCTATACTTCCTGGATTTTATTTGTTCTCTGGTAAATTCCAGAGGATTAGCCCCAACAAGCTTGAACATGCAGAGGTTTCCTTACAGAAAGCTTTGCTGTGAGTTATTTCAAGGCCTGTATATTACATCTATGCACTGAGAAAGGCTGTGTAGAGCTATAAGTGGGTTGAAGAGATGAAGATGTATTATATGCAATTGAAGGTAGAAGTTGACAAGTGCGAGAGGCAGCATTAACCCTTGTAAATGTCAAGAGTCTGCTATAGTTTCAACTAAATGTCTACCCAATTTTGACTCCCGTATTCAGTGTTCTGAATCTGCAAATTGTGCTGACTTCAGCACCCAAAAATTAATCCATTATAGCAGAAGTGAAGACTAGTTTGGCTGAAACCTTCGTCTGGTTTTCATTTGTATCTGTGCTGATTGCCATCATCTTTCTTTTTGTGGCCTTGCCAGAATGTGCTTTATCATAATGAGAACTAGCTCTTAAGCTTCTGCTGGCTCATACTCATTGGGTCTGACCTCTGAGAGCAGGCATTCATTGATCATCCGAGGCAGTTTTCACCCCCAGGTACTGGAAGTCTGAATGGTTGGAGATTTTCTACATCTTCCAGCAAGATTTTCAAAGACCAGGTTGCTGGGTCTTTCAAGGGGCAATAAGTCTGTCCAGACATAACTTTTCCAGGAAACTAGGGTGATTTACGATCTGAAAAAGGAAAAGTGGCAGGATCTCCCTTTGGCATTTTGTCAGAAGTGTTTCCAATTAGGGCAGGTTTTATTCTTTCTTTGGCAGAGGATTTCTAGGTTCCTTGGGTCAGTGCCAGCTCTGTGGTCACAGCGATTGTATGGTGGCCAGCTCTCCACACCATTGTCCTGTATGCCAAGGCTGAAAGTAGCTTCTCTTCTTCTCTCTGCCTTCTGTGGATTGTGTCTGTTTCTTCTGCTGGCTTCAGGAGCATCCGCTGTCCAACCACTTCATTCTGGTGCATTTGATCCAGCTTCAGGAAGTACCGCATCAGCCTGGGAAGCCCACCTGCCCCATGCAGGCCACACCAACAAAGCGCGGTGGAACCTGCACTGGTAACTCACAGACCATGTCAGATCATACAGGGCTTTTCCAAAGGAACTCAAGCCATCTCTCTCTTACTTCACCCTACGCTCCTTGTGTGTATTTTTACAAGCCTCAGAAGCTAAAAACAGCTACTTTTGCCCTTAGAGTCAGATGAAACACCATTTGGTCTCCAGTATTGCAAGGTATGATTTGAAGATGTTTTAAAAATGTCTCTGTATCTTGGCTTGGAGTCTAAAATTCTTCAGGTGAGATCATATTTTTTAATAGATATTTTTCATTTCTGTAACCCCACACCCCTCAGATGGTTCTATTTATCTTAAGGCTCTGCTCCATCTGTGTTGTTTCTTACTTCAGAGAAGCCAAAGCCAATTATGTTTCTGAATGGATTTTCCAATTTACAACAGACACAAAAGTCCAGAAGTAAAGCACTTTTTATTTGCCAGAGCTATGTCCTTGTTGTGATTGCTGTGGCTGTGTTCAGAATTCTGAATATGCTTGGTTTGGAAGATCAAGAGCTACAACCTGGAGGGCGAGACAGTCTTACAAAGTTTCTGAAATCAGCTGCAGAGCAGGTGAGGAAGCAGATGTGGGTGTCACAGGAGGAGCTGAAGCCCTGCCTGTTCTGATTACAGAAGTAAAGAGGTACTTACAGGCTCCCCGCCTCAGGCTGGTGTCAAGCCTCAGGGGCTGGGAAATACAAATCTCCAGAAGGGTTTTTTGTAAATGTGGACAAAGGGCATCGTGTTCCTGCTGGGGTGTAGATTGGGAACCCCACAAACATCTTAGAGAAGTTTCACATCCAGCTTGGCACCACAGCATAGGGTAACTGCATTAGCAATGGCCAAGGAAGGGTCAAATTAGTTGAGAAGAGGCTTGGAAGGACAAAAAAAATTGGTGTCTGCTGGTGATGGCCATGATCAGGTCCCAGTAACATGGATTGTCTAAGGAAACCTGAGCTCTTTGTGACCTAAAAGAACATAACTGATGCACACTGGGCTAAACAAAGGATAAAGAAAGAGGATGATGAAGGTGTTAAAGTCTCTCACTTTTTTCTCAGGGTTTTACCTGGACCCCATCTGATCTCAGATAGGATGTCTTTGGACAAGTTAGGATCTTTGATCCCTAGTAGTTTAGGACATGGAGTGAAATTCTGTGACCCTATTCCTGCTATGGACTCAGCACAGGACTCCAGCACTTGACTCCACCAAGAATGTAGTAGAAACAGTGACAGAACCAGGAAACGTGCATGAAGGAGATCTTCAAAGCCACCAGTAATTGGTCTACTGACAAACAATAACAGGCCTCATTCCAGGATCCCTTCAGAACTGGGAAAAGTACAGAACCAGACTGCTCAGTGCTGTCCACACAGCAGACCTTCATTAGGAAGCCTAGATGCATGCAACAGAGTAACAATTAGCAGAGGTTGGTGGGGTGAGCAAAGGAAGGACCATGTTCCTTTTAGGCCCGGAAAGTCTGAGACCTTGGGTAGAGCCTCAAAACTGAAGGCCAAATGTTGCATACTAAATTATAAATGTGTAATTCTCCAGTCAAAAAGGCACTTTGCTGACAGCCTCTGATGGATCATCTCTCATTGTCCACTAAAATCATACATGACGACAGTGAAAAAAGATGGAAAGTTGGCCAAATGACACCAAACTGAAGGGAGGATGAGTGAGAGGGGTCCACTGTTGATAACCTTCATATGGAGTATGTTTAATCTCTCTCTTTTTCTCACACACATACACACACTTGCGCATGCACACATGCACGCACACACACACACACTTTTACCTCATGGAAAACTCAAGCTTCTCCTCAGAAGACAGAGACTACAGAGACGGCAGGAGAAAATCTAGGGAAAGGCTTTCTTTCTTTCATACTATCAGGCCCCTGACTCTGAGATCCAGGATTTAGACTCCCCAGAAAACAAGGCTTCTGTCTCCCCACTGGATGAGTTCGCTCTGAATTGGCTGAAGACTCTCCTCTCTTACCTTTTTTTTTCCTAAATGTATTTACAGAGAGACTCCTGGACAAGAACTCAACAGGAGGTGGCAGGGGCACAGGCATGGGCATTTCGCATTCCAAGAGGACTAGATCCACGTGTTCTGGAGAGCGTGGCTGCTGCTGGCTATAGCAGCTTTGTGCACGCTCTATAGAGTACCAATGAGCCACACAGTGAGGACAGCAGATGCTAGTTCCTTGGAGCTGAGGAGCTCTAGTAGGAAGCCTGCTAACTAGGGACTGGACTTGGGGCTGTGTACGTCTGCTTTCAAGCTGTAGCTCTGAAAAGTTGGCCAAGAGCAAGTCACACTTCTGCTGATGAATAGAGCATGCATAGGTCTTGCCCCATTTAAGAGTAAATAGGGAGAAATAATCACAGATCACATCGGATGTTGGAAAAATCTCCTATTTTAGACTAGTATGGTACCATTATTCTCATATTTCTTGTTTCAGTAGGAACTTTACACTTGCATAGATTATTCAATAATTTCCATCTGTCACATTAGAATTGTTGAATATGGAAGCTTTATTACAGCAAGGAACACATTTGTTTTTGCTCATCATTGTATTCCCAGCACCTAGCATCAAACTTGGCACATAGTAAACATTTAACAGATAATTGTGGGATCAATGAATGAATTGCTGAAGAAACTTTAGAGATTAACAGAAGAGGATAAAAGAGCATAGAAACTTGTCCATATTTTCTAATTCATGTTGGTGCTTTGCATCCCTGATTTCAGAGAACATAGTTGACAAAAAGCCATTTAGCATGTATGTTGCAGGGATCATATCTCCTTTTTATAAAATTCACAAAGTCGGGCATAGTGCTAGGCAACTAGAAAATAAGTGATCATTAAAAACTGGGACTTTATAAGTGTCTCATGAATTGGAAAACTGTAAATCATAATTCACAAATCAAAGCACTCTCTATTCTAATGCAGTGAGAATAAAAAAAACCTTAGAGTATGGAGATCTATGTCATACACAACAAATACTTTTTATTGGAGATGTTTGTGAAGCACAAGAAACTCAAGTCATGATGAACTTGGGAAGTATTGATGGGTAGTTTTATTGAAACATGCATATCTTAGAAATGTCCCTATTTCTGATTCTGAGAAATTACAATGGTTGTCAGTTTCAGTATTAACACGTGGGCACATAAAAACTTCTATACATTTTCATGTGGGGAAACTAACACATGGAACTTTAAAAAAGAAAAGAATAGTGAAAAAGACATAAAAACAATTTATCTGGATTAAATTGCCAACAGTACTCTGCATCTATGTTGAAAAGCTACTCTGTGGGCAGTTGCTTAGTCTGAACCGCAGCTTTTACCACCCCTCCCTACTTTCCTTAACATTCGTTCTCAATCTCTTATCAAAAATTGTTGGCCAGGCACAGTGGCTCATGCTGTAATCTCAGCACTTTGGGAGGCCGAGGCAGGCGGATCACCTGAGCTCAGGAGTTCAAGACCAGCCTGACCAATAGGGTGAAATCCTGTCTCTACTAAAAATGTAAAATTAGCCAGGTATGGTGATGCATGCCTGTAATCCCAGCTACTCAGGAGGCTGAGACAGGAGAATCACTTGAACCTGGGAGGCAGAGGTTGCAGTGAGCAGAGATTGTGCCATTGCACTCCAGCCTGGGCAACAAGAGTAAAACTCCTTCTCAAACAACAGCAACAAACCAAACCAAACAAAAAAACCTGTGGGCAGAGTGGCTTGTCCCCGTAATCCCAGCACTTTGGGAGGCAGAGGTGGGTGGATCACTTAAGGCCAGGAGTTTGAGACCAGCCTGGCCAGCATGATAAAACCCTGTCCTTACTAAAAATACAAAAATTAGCCGGTGGTGCTGGGTGCCTGTAATCCCAGCTACTCAGGAGGCTGAGGCAGGAGAATCGCTTGAACGTGGGAGGCGGAGGTTGCAGTGAGCTGAGATTGTGCCACTGCACTCCAGCCTGGGCAACAGAGCGAGACTCTGTCTCAAAAAACAAAAACAAAATAACAACAAAAATAAACTGTTAAAAAGAGGACTGTTCTTTTGTTTCTCTATGGTAAAACGATGTCGTGAAAGATAGTGAAAGTAGTAGCATGTTGTATGATATTGAGGATACTTGAACATTTTCTCGTTTTCAAAATCTAACCAGCTTTGTGCATCTCTTTGTGGTAGCTTTTCTACCGTGATGTCCACAAAATGAGAAAACGTGCCCTCCCATTAGCTTCTGGCCTCTGTTTTGGTAGAAAAAATGATAAAAAAATCTTATCCCACACAGAAAAGTACAAGCAAATGGCAGGGGTTTACCAGTGCCATTTCAACACTGTAAGAGGAATACCTAAGGAATTCTTAACACTGTTTCCCCAACCACATTCTGATTCAACCACCAACTTCCATTGGAAATGGAACACAAGATTAAAGAAACACATACAGTTTACTTTTGCTTTTTCTTTTCCACATCAGGATCCCCAGTAGAAAATCTCTATCTAATTCCATTTTTGCCAAGGTACCTCAATTCAACTATTGAAGACCATTCCTTCAGGAAACCACAGTTTCTTTAGGAAAAGTGGTAAAATGCTTTCTCATTAACATGCTTTATTCAAACTGGAAGTTTCCTATGAAGATAATTTATCTGAGGTTACCATGTTCATCCCATTTCCTTATAAAGGTGTACTGACCTGATGAGATGTTTAACTATGACTGCCATGGATACCAGGTAATAATAACAATAGCTAATATGCTGTGCTTAGTACATACAAAGTATTGTTCTAAGTGCTTTGCAATATTAGTTCACCTAATGCTCACCATGACTTTGAGGTAGACACTATTATCCCTACATTTTACAGGTGAGGAAATTGAGATCCAGAGAAGTCAATTAACTTGACCAAGGTCATACAGCTAGTGAGTAGAGGAGCTTGGGTTACAAACAGAATAGTAAGGCTCCAGAGGCTATATTCTTAATCATAATTGTCTAAGCTTATTTATTATTAACATACATATGGATAAGCATCAGACCATAAAGATATCTTAGCTTATGCTTGGGAGCACACACACATGCACACAGCACTGAGAAGAGGCAAGGACTTTATAACATGTCCCTCATGAAATGTATTTCACTTGCCACAACAGAATACGAATTCTTCAATTTTGTAGTCAATTTTCCAAAAAGAAGATGATTGAATATCTATGATATGTCATCATTTGAATAAGGCACTTTTCTCATCACTTTAGCAATGAATCTGACTTTTTTCTAGTATGACAAACACATTCGGTGCAATTGATCCATATGCCCTATATATTGTGCTTCAAAAATAAGTTTCTGGCAAAATTGAATACATCAGTTCCTTGGATAGTAAATTTTAGGTGTTTACAGAGCAATGCTGTAGTCTTTCTCCTATCGATACTGCACAAACACCAAAGGCTGACAATAGCCTGCTTGTCTTGATCAGATGGTTGAAATCATAAGAAAAGATTTTATTAAAGTCAATTAATCTGAACCTAGTCACTTTATCTGTTAAAATGAATTATAAGTATGCCTTGTATCACAGGGTGATTATTCAAATCATAAAAAACAGTTGTAAAAACACTTTGTCAATTGTGAGCCCTTTATTGATATTGCTCTTATAACTGAGAGAAGTAGATGTAACTAAGGGAAGTGGTTATAAATTGATTATAAAATTATTTTTTAAATGCAGGAAAGATATAAGAAACCTACAATTGTAACAACCTGAAACAAATATTTGACTCAGTTATTCATCCTTTGTATTAATAAAGCACCTTTTACAATGCGATAAGCTGGTGGTTTAGAAAAAAATACCCTGTATTTGTCATTGTAATTACTCATGATAAGTGAAGATGAAGGATAATTACTTAATAAAGATGATGAGTAATCAACTAGAAAGCCCACCAAATATTTTTATAAACAAAAGAACAAACAAATACATTTTTACTTCCTCAAAGCATAAAATTACTCTGCTTCTTAACAGGATTTTATCTCAAGAATGTCCTCTTTACTCCTTTGACAGGACAATTCCCCAGTGCTTTATCTCACAAATATGAGCCTTCTCTCTTGCCACCTAGCCTCTAAATATCTTCTCGGTCCCTCTAGGCGGTATAATGCCAAATGCTGCTTAATACAGAGGAAAACATAAAAGTTTGCCAGAGGCTATGGTAACTTTAAAGTGGAATGGAACCTGTGGATGCAAGTAAGTCTAGAAAATATGCCCTGGATACAAACTAAATGTGGAGAAAAAAATGTAGCTACCAAGAGATATCGAAATATAGGAATATTGAGGCCTGGATTTTTAGAAGGCTTCAAATTCGGCTTTTGTGATTCCATGTTTGTAAGTTTCTAAAGCTGAAGCTGATGATCTGAATCTACTCCCATTCCTACCACAAGATCAGCATCAAGCCCCCATGGGCAGCTCCCAGCCCTGTTGGTGATTTACAGATACTGAGATCTGGCACTGTTGCCCTCTGCTTGATGCATTTCCTAAACAATTTCATTATGTTCTAATGTAATAACTTAAATAGTTTCTGCTCACACCTATAATATCAACACTCTGGAAGGCTGAGGCTGGAGGATCCCTTAAGTTCGAGACCAACCTCGGCAACATAGGGAGACCCTGTCTCTGCAAATAATAATAATTTAAAATTAGCTGGGTGTGGTGGTGTGTGCCTGTGCTCCCGGCTACTCAGGAGACTGAGGTGGGAGGATTGCTTGAGCCTGGGAGGTCAAGGCTGCAGTGAGCTGTGGTCATGTTACTGCACTCCAGCCTGGGTGACAGAGTAAGACCCTGTCTCAGAAAATAAAAATAAGTAAGTTGCTTCCAAAACACACACTACTTTTTAAAAATTATTATAGAAAGCTTTGAAACTACACTTTACTAACTGTTGAGTCATCAGTTAGTGCCTAGTTTTGTTATATGAATATTTTTGTTATGCAAGATATTGTATAACTTCTTAAAAGTCTTTGAAATATACTTAAAAAAACCTTTACAAAAGTAGTTGTCAGCTGAGGGTGACCCTGCCCCAGGGAACTTTTGTAATGTTTGGAGACATTTTTGATTGTCACTACTAGAGGAGTGAGTGCTATTGGCATTTGTTGGATAGAGGCCAGGGGTACTACTAAACATTGTATTAATACAATGCACACAAGTCAGTATTCTACTTCTACACAAAAAAAGAATTATCTGGCAGAGAATGTCGAGAGTGCTGAGGGTAAGAAACACTGTTTTACAGCAATTAAGTTCACTGTAGTGTCATGAATTTGCATTGTCTAACCTGCAAAGTGCTACAGAAAGCAGTCTTCTGCTCAGTCCTTTATTGGAGTCCAGCCTCTCAACACTAGAGCTAAGGAGGACCCACAGAAAAGAATCACTAGTCTCATATGACTCAATAACTTTCCTCTTGATAATTAGGGTAATCTAGGGAGTTCTAGGGTAGGAGTCTTGGTCAGATCTGTAATATTCTGGCTCACCAAGGATGACAATCAAAGGGGAATAGATTCAGTCCCTGCACTGAGCAGAGGAACCAAAAGTAACCTCATCACAATTTCTTGAGACCCAAGCAAAGGTTGCTCCCTGGCTACGCCTTCTAGGCCAGTCATGGTACCAGCTTCAGCATCCTTCCTCCCCTGCATCCTTGAATCCCAGCCACAAGCCCAATCCTGATCCCTAGTAGGAAGCAGCAAACATCTTAGTCTCTAATCTAGTGCCTTGGCTGCTTAAGTGGTCCAGAAACAGGGGTTCCATTTTGTTCCCTGAAGATTCTTCCTGGCTCTTTCCTCTTAACCTGTGTACCTGAGCTTCAACTACGGTTCCTGTTGCTGAATTCTAGAAATTATCTCCATCTGCTTATAGGCCCATGTCCTGCCTTGCTCTTGACATTTTTCTTTTATGATCTAGACTCATGGCTCAGAAAGAAAGTTGGGTGCCTGGGCACTGTCACTTATCTTTAGACTACCTGGGTAGATTGAACTTCTCGGTCAGCACATGGAGCTGGCCTGGTTCCCTGGGCATCTGTTTCCCTGGGATCATCCCTGTCTTGATTGCTCTGTCCTGCTATGAATTCACTGCCAACTCAACAATTCTCATGGTATACAGCTTCTCCTCTCCATTTAAAATTACATATCTGCTGCCACAAACTCCCTATTTCCTTTCCCTATTTTTCTCTGTACTACTTATCTTCTAACATTATAATTTATTTTGTTTAGTGTCTGGCTTTTTCTATCAGACTATAAACTGAATGAGGGCACATTTCTATTTGGTTCACTCATAGATTCTAAACACCTTAATCTGTACCTAGCATCTAGTAGGTGCTCAATGACTATTTCATTGAAGGTTGAATGAACATGACCGGCCCCCCAGCTGTATTTTAACTATAAATACTGAATGCAAACAGAAATAGACTAATTGAATCAAATAAAGTCTTTTTCTGATAAAGTACATTTAAATGACTTTCAAAATCGAGGATTTTCTAGTTCTCAAAAAGGCTGACATTAAGCTCGTCCCAGGGTATCAATTCTTAAAACCATAAAACGCCATGACCTTTGAAACTGCATTTAAAATATTCATGCTTCACTTAGACCACACTTGATTTATGGAAATTAATTAGCGTTACATGAATTCGCTGTTTACCATGGCACTTTTTAGTCTGTCCAGTGCTACCTAATCCTCGGACCGGACCTAAATGGCAGAAGACTTGGCTGGTATTTAATTAAATTTTTATTAGAAGTAATAATGGATCAACTGTGTGACCCCAAATGAAAAGACTATAATGAAGAGCTCTGGATGACAAGCTATTTTAGTGCTAATAGTCTAATGTTTGCATATTTGGATCAGTTTTTTAATTAACTCAAAGCAACTATTCAGGAAGGGAAAGTTAATTTGGTTTTCCTTCTATATGGTAAACAAACCAAAAACCCTCATCAAATTCTAATGCTGTCTATTCATTACTTTTCAGTATTAAAAAGTTACTGTTTAATAATTTATATTTACAAAAATATTTACTCAAGTATATTTGTGAGCAGAACTGAACTGAACTTCACATTTTTTTTGGAAAATGTAACTTCCTTACTTAGTCATTGCCACTGAAAAAGAAAGGTGGGTGTTTAACTCTCTTGAGAACATAAATCTGTGTTGCTGTTACTACACAATGTAATGTAGTAGCAAAGGAAATGGTATAAAGTAAAAGAAATGAAGAGGGAAAAAATGAGAGAGAGGAGTCTTAATACATGTTACTAATTTGATTACATTTGTTTTTATAAAGTACAGGTAAAATTTGTTAGTTTAGCCAGTTCCTTTCCTCCCTTTGCACATTATATAAATATAACTTGAGAAACTATACAATGGTTTAGAAGTGGATAGAGAAGTTTAGCTATGATGTTTTATGCTTAAAGCCTGGGAGGACAGGCAGCTTTCTTATAATGAGAAGGTTGGGGGGAAAAATGTATTGTTGGATTTGTGAATCAAAGGAATTTAATACTCTCCGTCAAAGTCAACACCATTAGCATTTGCTAAAGGAGGAGATGGTTGAATTTGAATGTTTTCTCTTTGATGTCACTATTCTTGTCATTGTCTCATTTAAAACTTAATTTGGATCTGTGGGGTGAAGCAGAAGCCTATCCTTCAAATCCATGCCACACAGACGAGAGGAGACAAAAGAATTAGAGAAGCAAGTTGAAGTTTTTGCTCTTCTATCCACACTGAAGACTGTTAGAGAACTTGGCCATCGTTCTGGATAGCCTTTATTCTGCCCTCACTCTTTAAAAAAATTATCTTTAGTTCTTTTTCTGATTTCTAAAAGTAAACATATTCATGATAAAAAATTAAAATTATGGAACATTAGAAAGCCAAAAATTATTTGCCCAATTTGCCCATTATCCTACAATTCAGAAGTGACAACAGCTAATTTTTAGTGTGTTTCCCTTCAGTCTCTTTGCTATGGATAACACACAAATACACATATACACTTATATAATGTTGCATTCTTTTTATTTAAAAACAATTATGGATTCATAGTGTTTTTTTAAATTTTATTTTATTATTATTATACTTTAAGTTTTAGGGTACATGTGCACAATGTGCAGGTTAGTTACATATGTATACATGTGACATGCTGGTGTGCCGCACCCATTAACTCGTCATTTAGCATTAGGTATATCTCCTAATGCTATCCCTCCCCGCTCCACCCACCCCACAACAGTCCCCAGAGTGTGATGTTCCCCTTCCTGTGTCCATGTGTTCTCATTGTTCAATTCCCACCTATGAGTGAAAATATACGGTGTTTGGTTTTTTGTTCTTGCGACAGTTTACTGAGAATGATGATTTCCAATTTCATCCATGTCCCTACAAAGGACATGAACTCATTTTTTATGGCTGCATAGTATTCCATGGTGTATATGTGCCACATTTTCGTTATCCAGTGGATCACTGTTGGACATTTGTGTTGGTTCCAAGTCTTTGCTATTGTGAATAGTGCCGCAATAAACATACATGTGCATGTGTCTTTATAGCAGCATGATTTATAGTCCTTTGGGTATATACCCAGTAATGGGATGGCTGGATCAAATGGTATTTCTAGTACTAGATCCCTGAGGAATTGCCACACTGACTTCCACAATGGTTGAACTAGTTTACAGTCCCACCAACAGTGTAAAAGTGTTCCTATTTCTGCACATCCTCTCCAGCACCTGTTGTTTCCTGACTTTTTAATGATTGCCATTCTAACTGGTGTGAGATGGTATCTCATTGTGGTTTTGATTTGCATTTCTCTGATGGCCAGTGATGGTGAGCATTTTTTCATGTGTTTTTTGGCTGCATAAATGTCTTCTTTTGAGAAGTGTCTGTTCATGTCCTTCGCCTACTTTTTGATGGGGTTGTTTTTTTCTTGTAAATTTGTTTGAGTTCATTGTAGATTCTGGATATTAGCCCTTTGTCAGATGAGTAGGTTGTGAAAATTTTCTCCCATTTTATAGGTTGCCTGTTCACTCTGATGGTAGTTTCTTTTGCTGTGCAGAAGCTCTTTAGTTTAATTAGATCCCATTTGTCAATTTTGGCTTTTGTTGCCATTGCTTTTGGTGTTTTAGACATGAAGTCCTTGCCCATGCCTATGTCCTGAATGGTAATGCCTAGGTTTTCTTCTAGGGTTTTTATGGTTTTAGGTCTAACGTTTAAGTCTTTAATCCATCTTGAATTAATTTTCGTATAAGGTGTAAGGAAGGGATCCAGTTTCAGCTTTCTACATATGGCTAGCCAGTTTTCCCAGCACCATTTATTAAATAGGGATTCCTTTCCCCATTGCTTGTTTTTCTCAGGTTTGTCAAAGATCAGATAGTTGTAGATATGTGGCGTTATTTCTGAGGGCTCTGTTCTGTTCCATTGATCTATATCTCTGTTTTGGTACCAGTACCATGCTGTTTTGGTTACTGTAGCCTTGTAGTATAGTTTGAAGTCAGGTAGTGTGATGCCTCCAGCTTTGTTCTTTTGGCTTAGGATTGAATTGGTGATGTGGGCTCTTTTTTGGTTCCATATGAACTTTAAAGTAGTTTTTTCCAATTCTGTGAAGAAAGTCATTGGTAGCTTGATGGAGATGGCATTGAATCTATAAATTACCTTGGGCAGTATGGCCATTTTCACGATATTGATTCTTCCTACCCATGAGCATGGAATGTTCTTCCATTTGTTTGTATCCTCTTTTATTTCCTTGAGCAGCGGTTTGTAGTTCTCCTTGAAGAGGTCCTTCACGTCCCTTGTAAGTTGGATTCCTAGGTATTTTATTCTCTTTGAAGCAATTGTGAATGGGAGTTCACTCATGATTTGGCTCTCTGTTTGTCTGTTATTGGTGTATAAGAATGCTTGTGATTTTTGTACATTGATTTTGTATCCTGAGACTTTGCTGAAGTTGCTTATCAGCTTAAGGAGATTTTGGGCTGACACAATGGGGTTTTTGAGATATACAATCATGTCATCTGCAAACAGGGACAATTTGACTTCCTCTTTTCCTAATTGAATACCCTTTATTTCCTTCTCCTGCCTAATTGCCCTGGCCAGAACTTCCAACACTATGTCGAATAGGAGTAGTAGACAGGGAATCCCTGTCTTGTGCCAGTTTTCAAAGGGAATGCTTCCAGTTTTTGCCCATTCAGTATGATATTGGCTGTGGGTTTGTCATAGATAGCTCTTATTATTTTGAGATACGTCCCATCAATACCTAATTTATTGAGAGTTTTTAGCATGAAGGTTGTTGAATTTTGTCAAAGGCCTTTTCTGCATCTATTGAGATAATCATGTGGTTTTTGTCTTTGGTTCTGTTTATATGCTAGATTACATTTATTGATTTGTGTATACTGAACCAGCCTTGCATCCCAGGGATGAAGCCCACTTGATCATGGTGGATAAGCTTTTTGATGTGCTGCTGGATTCGGTTTGCCAGTATTTTATTGAGGATTTTTGCATCAATGTTCATCAAGGATATTGGTCTAAAATTCTCTTTTTTTGTTGTGTCTGTGCCAGGCTTTGGTATCAGGATGATGCTGGCCTCATAAAATGAGTTAGGGAGGATTCCCTCTTTTTCTATTGATTGGAATAGTTTCAGAAGGAATGATACCAGTTCCTCCTTGTACCTCTGGTAGAATTCGGCTGTGAATCCATCTGGTCCTGGACTCTTTTTGGTTGGTAAGCTATTGATTATTGCCACAATTTCAGAGCCTGTTATTGGTCTATTCAGAGATTCAACTTCTTCCTGGTTTAGTCTTGGGAGGGTGTATGTGTCGAGGAATTTATCCATTTCTTCTAGATTTTCTAGTTTATTTGCATAGAGGTGTTTGTAGTATTCTCTGATGATAGTTTGTATTTCTGTGGGATCGGTGGTGATATCCCCTTTATCATTTTTTATTGCATCTATTTGATTCTTCTCTTTTCTTCTTTATTAGTCTTGCTAGCGGTCTATCAATTTTGTTGATCCTTTCAAAAAATCAGCTCCTGGATTCATTAATTTTTTGAAGGGTTTTTTGTGTCTCTGTTTCCTTCAGTTCTGCTCTGATTTTAGTTATTTCTTGCCTTCTGCTAGCTTTTGAATGTGTTTGCTCTTGCTTTTCTAGTTCTTTTAATTGTGATGTTAGGGTGTCAATTTTGGATCTTTCCTGCTTTCTCTTGTGGGCATTTAGTGCTATAAATTTCCCTCTACACACTACTTTGAGTGTGTCCCAGAGATTCTGGTATGTTGTGTCTTTGTTCTCGTTGGTTTCAAAGAACATCTTTATTTCTGCCTTCATTTCGTTATGTACCCAGTAGTCATTCAGGAGCAGGTTGTTCAGTTTCCATGTAGTTGAGTGGTTTTTAGTGAGTTTCTTAATCCTGAGTTCTAGTTTGATTGCACTGTGGTCTGAGAGACAGTTTGTTATAATTTCTGATCTTTTACATTTGCTGAGGAGAGCTTTACTTCCAACTATGTGGTCAATTTTGGAATAGGTGTGGTGTGGGGCTGAAAAAAATGTATATTCTGTTGATTTGGGGTGGAGAGTTCTGTAGATGTCTATTAGGTCTGCTTGGTGCAGAGCTGAGTTCAATTCCTGGGTATCCTTGTTAACTTTCTGTCTCGTTGATCTGTCTAATGTTGACAGTGGGGTGTTAAAGTCTCCCATTATTATTGTGTGGGAGTCTAAGTCTCCTTGTAGGTCACTCAGGACTTGCTTTATGAATCTGGGTGGTCCTGTATTGGGTGCATATATATTTAGGATAGTTAGCTCTTCTTGTTGAATTGATCCCTTTACCATTATGTAATGGCCTTTTTTGTCTCTTTTGATCTTTGTTGGTTTACAGTCTGTTTTATCAGAGACTAGGATTGCAACCCCTGCCTTTTTTTGTTTTCCATTTGCTTGGTAGATCTTCCTCCATCCTTTTATTTTGAGCCTATGTGTGTCTCTGCACATGAGATGGGTTTCCTGAATACAGCACACTGATGGGTCTTGACTCTATCCAATTTGCCAGTCTGTGTCTTTTAATTGGAGCATTTAGTCCATTTACATTTAAAGTTAATATTGTTATGTGTGAATTTGATCCTGTCATTATGATGTTAGCTGGTTATTTTGCTCGTTAGTTGATGCAGTTTCTTCCTAGCCTCGATGGTCTTTACAATTTGGCATGATTTTGCAGTGGCTGGTACTGGTTGTTCCTTTCCATGTTTAGTGCTTCCTACAGGAGCTCTTTTAGAGCAGGCCTGGTGGTGACAAAATCTCTCAGCATTTGCTTGTCTGTAAAGGATTTTATTTCTCCTTCACTTATGAAGCTTAGTTTGGCTGGATATGAAATTCTGGGTTGAAAATTCTTTTCTTTAAGAATGTTGAATATTGGCCCCCCCCGCCCCGCCCAACTCTCTTCTGGCTTGCAGAGTTTCTGCCAAGAGATCCGCTGTTAGTCTGATGGGCTTCCCTTTGTGGGTTACCCGACCATTCTCTCTGGCTGCCCTTAACATTTTTTTCTTCATTTCAACTTTGGTGAATCTGACAATTATGTGTCTTGGAGTTGCTCTTCTCGAGGAGTATGTTTGTGGCATTCTCTGTATTTCCTGAATTTGAATGTTGGCCTGCCTTGCTAGATTGGGGAAGTTCTCCTGGATAATAT
This sequence comes from Homo sapiens, assembly GCF_000001405.40. Lineage (NCBI taxonomy): Eukaryota > Metazoa > Chordata > Mammalia > Primates > Hominidae > Homo > Homo sapiens. Next base: position 101,292,371 of record NC_000009.12, on the reverse strand, counting down.
CCTGCAGAGTGTTTTCCAACTTGGTTCCATTCTCCCCATCACTTTCAGGTACACCAATCAGAGGTAGATTTGGTCTTTTCACATAGTCCCATATTTCTTGGAGGCTTTGTTCATTTCTTTTTATTCTTTTTTCTCTAAATTTTCCTTCTCACTTCATTTCATTCATTTCATTTTCCATTGCTGATACCCTTTCTTCCAGTTGATTGCGTCGGCTCCTGAGGCTTCTGCATTCTTCACGTAGTTCTCGAGCCTTGGCTTGCAGCTCCATCAGCTCCTTTAAGCACTTCTCTGTATTGGTTATTCTAGTTATATATTCGTCTACATTTTTTTCAAAGTTTTCAACTTCTTTGCCTTTGATTTGAATTTCCTCCTGTAGCTCAGAGTAGTTTGATCGTCTGAAGCCTTCTTCTCTCAACTCGTCAAAGTCATTCTCCATCCAGCTTTGTTCTGTTGCTGGTGAGGAGCTGTGTTCCTTTGGAGGAGGAGAGGTGCTCTGCTTTTTAGAATTTCCAGTTTTTCTGTTCTGTTTTTTCCCCATCTTTGTCGTTTTATCTACCTTTGGTCTTTGATGATGGTGATGTACAGATGGGTTTTTGGTGTGGATGTCCTTTCTGTTTGTTAGTTTTCCTTCTAACAGACAGGACCCTCAGCTGCGGGTCTGTTGGAGTTTGCTAGAGGTCCACTCCAGACCCTGTTTGCCTGGGTACCAGCAGCAGTGGCTGCAGAACAGCGGATTTTCGTAAACTGCGAATGCTGCTGTCTGATCATTCCTCTGGAAGTTTTGTCTCAGAGGAGTACCCGGCCGTGTGAGGTGTCAGTCTGCCCCTACTGGCGGGTGCCTCCCAGTTAGGCTGCTCGGGGGTCAGGGGTCAGGGACCCACTTGAGGAGGCAGTCTGCCCATTCTCAGATCTCCAGCTGCGTGCTGGGAGAACCACTGCTCTTTTCAAAGCTGTCAGACAGGGACATTTAAGTCTGCAGAGGTTACCGCTGTCTTTTTGTTTGTCTGTGCCCTGCCCCCAGAGGTGGAGCCTACAGAGGCAGGCAGGCCTCTGTGAGCTGTGGTGGGCTCCACCCAGTTCGAGCTTCCCGGCTGCTTTGTTTACCTAAGCAAGCCTGGGCAATGGCGGGCGCCCCTCCCCCAGCCTTGCTGCCACCTTGCAGTTTGATCTCAGACTGCTGTGCTAGCAATCAGGGAGACTCCATGGGCGTAGGACCCTCCGAGCCATGTGAGGGATATAATCTCCTGGTGCGCTGTTTTTTAAGCCTGTTGTCGGAAAAGCGCAGTATTAGGGTGGGAGTGACCCGATTTTCCAGGTGCCGTCTTTCACCCCTTTCTTTGACTAGGAAAGGGAACTCCCTGACCCCTTGCACTTCCCGAGTGAAGCAATGCCTCGCCCTACTTTGGCTCGCGCTTGGTGCGCTGCACCCACTGTCCTGCGCCCACTGTCTGGCACTCCCTAGTGAGATGAACCAGGTACCTCAGATGGAAATGCAGAAATCACCCATCTTCTGCGTCACTCACGCTGAGAGCTGTAGACTGGAGCTGTTCCTATTCGGCCATCTTGGCTCCCGGATCAGGAAAGGATCGGATTCATAGTGTTTTAACTTTTCACATATCATGAATATTCTCCATGAAAAATTCTTAATACCATTTTCTGAGGTTGCAACTTATAATGGCCTCATTTTTTTAAAAAAATTAGAGATATCTAACTTAAAAAATAATTTTAGTCCACAAAAATTAATCTACATTTCTGATTGTTTCATTAGAATGGATTATTTGCAGTGGAATTTGGGGTTAAAAAAAGACCATTATTTGTAAGGTTATTGAAATACACTGTCAAATTGCAATGCAGAAAGGGTTAAATATCAATTTAACCAGAATTGTATTAGAATCTCACGTTTTTTCATCTTTTACAGCATAAAGCCTTATTTTCTTAAAAATGAATTCACTGGCCTTTTTTGCAATGTGGAGCTGATGATATTTCTTGGAAAATACTATTTGTAGTAGATTGTGGAATAATTACATAAACTGCAAGAGAAAATTCATGCCATTTCAGGTTCATTAGAATGGCTAGTGGAAACAGTTGTCATTTTCCAATGTCAATTGCGTAGTATGTATTTTGGTAGCTTTGGGGCTAGAAAAAAGACGGTTAAGCTCTTCAAAATAAGTTTTTCTAATATATTTTGATTACTCCCTTATTTTACTCTAATTTTTTCCAAAGAAAACATTTCCATTTAAAGAGTCTTTATTGTAAGTAGTACCCTTTCTTGTGAAAAAAATTCACATATACTCAGAGTAAGTTACCCTTCTCAAGATTAATAGATGCATTCCTTCACCCCTCCTACAGGAAAAGTCAGAACAGACTTCTCTGGCTTTCTCTTAGAAATTACCTCATTTATGCACTTTAATTTCCTAGGACTAAGCTGAAAGTGGTAATAAAGTTAATTAAACAGAAGGCAAATGAATACTTAAGAATCAGCTTTTATGAAACTAGTTTTAGGCAAATCCATGATTTAACAAAGTTTATCTTTGCTTTTCATTCACCCTAATAAAGACATACCTGAGGTTGGGCGATTTACAAAGCAAAGAGGTTTAATGAAGAACTCACAGTTCCATGTGGCTGGGGAAGCCTCACAATCATGGCAGAAGGCAAGGAGGAGCAAGTCATATCATACATAGATGGCAGTGGGCAAAGAGAGAAAATGAGGAAGACGCAAAAGCAGAAACCCCTGATAAAACCATCAGATATTTTGAGACTTATTCACTACCATGAGAACAGTATGGGGGAACCACCCCCAGGATTCAAGTTATCTCCTACCAGGTCCCTCTCACAACATGTGGGAATTATGGGAGTACAATTCAAGATGAGATTTGGGTAGAGACACAAAGCCAAACCATATCAACTCTCAAAAATCATTTTTTGGCAACCTATGTACCAGGTACTTTGAAGTATGCTGTTGACATGGAATGAAAAAGATACAACTTCTGTTCTCCAAGCGATCATAAATTAATAGGAGTAACAGATTTAAGTAATTATAGTAATATGAGAAGTGCCTATAACAGATGTAGGTGCAAGGCTCAGTGGAGGCCTAGAAGACGAGGCAACTAGTTGATGGGATTGGTAAACAGGTAATGTCTAAACAGCATTCTGAAGATGAGTAGGGTTTGGCCAGCTTGTAAAGTGAAGGGGTAGCAATAGAATATTCTAGGCTGAAGGAGCAGCACATGTGCAGGTACTGAGGCAAGGTGTCACACTTTCCTTTGGAGGCCATGTGAAGCCGTTTAGCATGATGGGAGAGGGCCTCACAAGGGAGTGGCTCGGGATGAGGCTGGAGACATGTGAGGACCTCAGATTGTGAAGGGCTCTGTAGGCTATGTTAAGGACACTAGAAATCTATTGAAAGGTTTTAAGCAGAGAATTGACTTGCTCATATTTTTGCTTCAAAAAGCTCAATAGCTACAAAACGGTCAATAGATGGTAGCTTTGTGGGGCTGGGGTGAATGCAATGATATTGCAAAACAAGATATAGGGAGACAAGAACTTTTAATAACCTAAACCAGTGGTTCTCAAACTTTCCATGCATCAGAATCACCTGGATGACTTGCGAAAACACAAATAATCAGACTTAATCCCTACATTTTCTGATTTAGCAGGTATAGAATGAGGTTTAAGAATTTCTAACAAGTTCCCAGATGGCGTAAGGTGTCTCTCAGGTTTTTTACTTGAGCAACTGGGTGGATCCTAGAGTCATAAAAAACAAAAGAGGGAAAGCGTGAAGGAAGTGCTTTTTTTTTATTTTTTTATTTTTTTACTAAACCCAGCAATCCCCTTTGCCTTTCAATGCTGTTTCCTCTAATTCTCCAAAGTTTAAATGTTATCTTTTGGCTATCTCTCTGCTCTAGCATCCCTTCCTTAGAAGCAGAATCTCATGATGCTGAACTCTAACTCACCTTATTTGAATGTCGCTGGCTTATCCTCCCAAGGTCCAGATCTCTATTAGCTTATGACAGACCCAAACGGACTAATGTGTCATTGATTATAAATGGGAATTTGATGCTCCTCCAGCGTGACAAATTTCTACTTTAACGGTGGTCTTTCTGAACCATGCCTCTCTCCAATGTGGTGTCTCAAGTGGGAGTTTTGGATACCACAACAGACAATCTAGAGGACTGGTTCCTGGATGGTGGTGATCTTCTGGCATCCCTCAATAAACAGAGACTTGTGCTACCAATGCATAAAGGTCTATATAAATGACAAGTGCCAGTCAAAATTTTTATTCCTTGGACCCTGCTCCAAGTGGGTGGGTCACAAAAGGTATAATTTATCTTTGCCAAGGGAAATAACTGACTTTAAAAGGTATTCCAATTTAATTGCAATAAATCTCTGCTTTAAATAACTTGCTTTAATTATATATACAGGAAATAGATCGGACAGTAGTCATAAAATCTTCCCTGAATCAAATTATGTACGTGTGTGTGCATGCGTTACTCCTGGGGAAAAGTTACTTTACCCCATTTCCTGTCAAGATTCTTCATATGTACAACTAGGACTATGAAATACGTTACAGGGGCCGGGCACAGTGGCTCATGTCTGTAATCCCAGCACTTTGGGAGGCTGAGGCAGGTGGATCACCTGAGGTCAGGAGTCCAAGACCAGCTTGGCCAAGATGGTGGAACCTCGTCTCTACTAAAAATGCAAAAATTATCCAGTCTTAGGGACAGGCACCTATAATCCCACCTACTCAGGAGGCTGAGACAGGAGAATCGCTTGAACCTGGCAGACGGAGGTTGCAGTGAGCCGAGGTCGTGCCACTGCACTCCAGCCTGGGGAGAGAGCAAGACTCTGTCTAAAAAATAAAATAAAATACCTTACAGGGTTTTGGGTAGATTAAAAGAAATAATTTCTGTAAAATGTCTAGTTCAGTGTTCTGTATCATAAATATTCTCTTCTCTCCTCATTTCCCCTTGATGATCTCTTATCTTGCCCCTCTGGGAAGTGATCAAACTCTGGACATCTTTGGAAGGAGCCATTGTTTGGAATGAGTGAACTAGATAGTAGTGGCATCATATTGATCAGGGTATACCCTGTAAGCCAATTGCAAACTTGCATAATCTGCAAAAACTTTTATTCTGCAAATAACATCAAATGCCTGAGACTATTTTAATGTTAAGGGTTACTTCTTTTAAATTAGATTTTCTTAGGTTTCCCACTGCACTATTTCTTTCATTTCCACTCCAACCAGACAAGTTATTGCATATTTGATTTTGATGTGGTATTTGCTTATTACTTGAAGAAATTCAATCATTTCCTACAACAGGAAAAAAAGATTAAGGATTACCAAAAGGCTTGACAGCATGCTGTATTCTGACCCTCACTTTCTCAGTTGTCAGTTCTCTTGTTTTAAATGGTATCATGGCTCCCTTAAAAATCTGGTCAGGAGGTATTTGTAGGATCTCATTAGAATACTGTAATAGTTATCATTTATAGAGTACTTAATGTGTAGGAACTTTGTAAGATCTCTATTCTTACCTGTACCCATACACATTTATTCCCATATCTATAATTATTAATCACTAGCACCTCAGGAATTTTCATAAAAGTCCTAGAAGGAGGGATGTAGAATATGCCTTCATTATTCCCTATCATGAACACTAATAAAAGTATTTGTTTTCCAACTTTGAAAAGGCATTATTTTCAAGAACCTGATGGCTGAGATTTCCCACTCTTTGTTAAATTCCCTGCATAACAAAATTACTGGATGGGAAGTCTGTCAGGAAATTTGACTATTTCTAAATTTATTTTATTGGCGTCCCCTGATGCTCCCCCACCCCAACCCCTTGCCTGACTCTGCTAAAAGGTATATAGCAATATCCAGCCAATATTAAAACATACGTCCAGGGGAATCTCAGATAACTGCTATGTGGGGGGAAAATCAGTTGAAATCATTCATAAGACAATTTAAGAAGTACCATTTCGAGAGTCAAAAATTTGATGTGGCAGTAGGATCAGGAAAATCCCCAAAGCAGCCCTTGCTTTTAATGTTGATACTTCCATAGTTTATTTTACCAAGTGTTTGCCTTTAGTAATTTTACTTTTATGTGAGAGCTTAGTTCAGCACCATCTTGTACTCACCTGTGAATCTTATGATCCTTCGAAGTAAGGGGTTCAGGTAACAGCATTCTCCGGTCAGAATTGTTTTCTCCTGAGCAATCAGGGATTCTCTTGTTGATTTTATGAAATACATGGATATCTCACCAATAAAAATCTAGGGAAGGAATGTTTAAGAAATGTCAAGTTGGAGATCTGTTTGATAAGAGAGGCCCATGGCTTTAAAAACAAAACAAAACTGTTGAGGACCCACAATCATTTTAAAAGATGTTGGAGAGAGATGGTGAATTAGATCGTAATTTGCATTTAACACTTCAAAAGAATTAGAGAAAGTGATAATTGATCATTTCAGATAGAGTTTCAGCCTATAATATTAAAATCTAAGGTCACATGGAAACAAATTGAAATAATAAGTTGTAATAGAATTTATGACAAGGTTCATGCTGGGATTGAATTCTTTTTTAACTTTCTGTGTGAGTAGCAATGATGAGGAATGATTCAGACAGCCAATGTGCCCAAGAAGGCATTATATACACACATCACAAGAGGTGACAGTAAGACCTCACTTTATATCAACAGGTTTGTGAAAACTGGAACTTTAAGTGAAATGACATACTGTATGCTATAAGAATTTAACTCTTCTTTATATCAATTAGTCTATGGTAAAATTAGTTTTGTTATATAGCATGTTGTTTTGCTTAAACTTGCAGTTTCCAAGAACCTATCCACCACAACATTAAGTGAGGACTTTACTCAACTGCATTACTTTATTATGTGCCATTACAATTATTTACATTCTAAATTCTTATTTGATCACAATTGCCTCAGATATATTTCTCCTACCCTGAACTGGTTGATTAGCCCTTCTTTATTATAGGCATCTCTCTCGTTAAACTAATAAATATATGTTACCCTTTAAATTATAATGCCCTTAGGTAGATTAGAAGCCCCCTAATAGCAGGGACTACATCTTAATAACTCTTTAGTATCCTTATGGCACCCAGCACAGTGTATTCCCATTTAAAACAAGGAATTGGTAGAGACAAGTTTTCATGAACAATGACACTGCCATAACTGAAGATCGAGACTCATCAAGGAAAAGTAAAAGGTTAATTACCGTTATCTATTAAATACTGGGCGTTAGGCACTTCAGCATAGTCTTTTCAGGCTCACAAGATCCCTCCTGCAGGCATAATTATCCTTGCTTTACTGTTGAGGAGTGACAGTTTAGCAAGTTTAGGTAATTTACCCTCCAAAGCATATGGATGGTGCATGGGGCACAGGAATTAGTATACACGTCAATTGGATTCCAAAGTCCACACTTCCCACTATTCATATGCCATTTTGATTTTCCTAATCCTAATTTTAACATTTCCCCAGAATAATGTGATCTCATAGATGATCATCTTTGCTGTACATAGACCTGTGATTTTAGAGAAAATTTATTAATGTTTTAATTCCATACCTTATATTTCTCCTGTCATGCTGGAATGTCTGTTTAGATGGATAAAGATGATGACATAATGAAAGGCACATGGATAACAGAAATTAAAAAGTATAAAATTTCAAAACTGGAATCATTTATAATGTTCTCCCTTTATGGGTTTCAGGAACTCGGACACACACAGACAGATAGTATCTGAAGCATCTCTAGAACACATGCATTAAAGTGTATGTACACTGTGATGTTAATAAATCTAGCTAATTAACATATGCATGATCTTACATAGTTATCATTTTTGTGGTACAAACACTTAATGTTCACTTGGAATTTTTCAAGAATATATTTTATTAATTATAGTCACAGTATTGTGTAATAGATCTCTTGAACTTATTCCTCTTGTGAGATCAACTTCTGTAGATTCCACATCTACAATTAGAAGTGAGATCATGCAGTATTTGTCTTTCAGTGCCTGGATTATTTCACTTAACATAATGTCCTCTAGGTTTATCCATCTTGTCACCAATGACAGAATTGCCTTTTTAATGGCATATATGTCACATCATTTTAAATCCAGACACTGAGGCAGATTCCATATCTTGGCTATTGGGAATAATGCTGCAACGAATATGGCAGTTCAGATATCTCTTTGATATACTTATTTCATTTCCTTTGTATATACACTCAGTAGTGGTATATAGATTGCTACTAGATCAATGGCAATTCTATTTTTAATTTTTTGAGGCACCTCCATATGGATTCCTATACGATGGCTGTACTAACTTACATTTCTACCAGCAATGTGCAAGTGTTCCCTTTTCTCTATATTCCCACCAATATTTATCTTTCATCTTTTGATAATAGCCATTCTAACAGGTGTGAGATTATATCTCAATGTGGTTTTAATTTGCATGTCCTTGATGATTAGTGATACTGAGCATTTTTTTTCATATATTTGTTGGCCATTTGTCTTTTGTCTATTTAGGCCTTTTCTTCATTTTTAAATTGGGTTATTATCTTGCTATTGAGTTGTTTGATTTTCTTATATTTTAATAATCTTTATTAGACATATGGTTTACAAATACATTTTCCCATTCTGTAGGTTGTCTCTTCACTTTGTTGCTGGTTTTCTTCACTGTGCAGAAGCATTTTAGTTTGATGTAATCCCATTTGTCTATTTTTGCTTTTGTTGCCTGTGCTTTTGGGTTCATATCCAGAAAATTATTGCCCAGACATATGTCATGAAGCTTTTCTTCTATGTAAGACCTCATTGCTTTAGGTATTACAATTAAGTATTTAATCCATTTTGAGTTGATTTTTGTATACGGTGTGAGATAAAGTCTTAATTTTACTCTTCTGCATGTGGATAGCCAGTTTTCCTAACACAATTTATTAATGGACTGACCTTTTCCCATTGGGTGTGCTTGACACCTTTGTTGAAAATCAGTTGGCTATAAACGTGTGGATTTATTTCTGGGTTCTGTTCTATTCCATTGGTCTTTCTTTATATGCCAATAGCATGTTGTTTTGGTTACTAATAGCCTTGTAGTATATTTAGAAGTCAGATAGTGTGATGTCTCCAGATTTGTTCTTTTTGCTCAGGATTGCTTTGGCCATTCTAGGTCTTTTTTGATTGATGACTTTTAGGATTGTTTTTTCTATCCTGTGAAAAATATCATTGATAGCTGGGTGTGGTGGCTCACGGCTGTGATCGTAGCACTTTGGAAGGCTGAGATTGGAGGATTGCTTGAGGCCAGGAGTTCAAGACTAGCCTGGTCAACAGAGCGAGATCCCATCACTATAAAAAATGTATCATTGATATTTTGGTAGCAAATGAGTTGAATCTGTAGATTGCTTCATGTAGTATTAAACATTTTAACAGTATTAATTCTTCCAATCCATGAACATAGAATATCTTCCCATTCTTTTGCAACTCCAATTTCTTTCATCAATATTTTATACTTTTCATTGTAGATACTTTTCATCTCTTTGGTTAAATTCCTAAGTATTTTTTGTAGCTATTATAAATAGGATTATTATTTACTTTTTTTCAGATAGCTTGCAGTTAATATATAGAAATGCTACTGATTTTTGTATTTTGTTTTATATCCTGCAACTTTACTGAACCAGTTTATTCTAACAGTTTTCAGTAGAGTCTTCAGGGTTTTCTGTATACAGGATGTCATATGCAAACAAGGAAAATTTAATGTTTTTGCTTCCAATTTGAATGCCTTTTCTTTCTTTCTCTTGCCAAATTGCTCTGGCTAGGACTTTATGTACTATGTTGAATAGAAGTGGTGAGAGTTACCCTTGTCTTATTCCACATCTTAGAGAAAAAACTTTCAACTTTTCTCCGTTGAACATGAATTTAGCTGTGAGTTTACCACATATGGCCTCTATTGTATTGGGTTACATTTCTTTATACCTAATTTGTTGAGGGTTTTTTAAATCGTAAAAGGATATTGAATTTTGTCAAATCATTTTTTTGCATTTATTGAAATATATAGTTTTTGTTCCTCATTCTTTTAAAGTGATGTACTACATTTATTGATTTGTGTATGTTGAACCATCTTTGCACCCTTGGGATGAATCCCACATGATCATGGTAAATGGTCTTTTAAACTGTGCTGTTAAGTTTGATTTGTTAGGGTTTTTTGAGCATCTTTGTATCTATGTTCATCAGGAATGTTGACCTGTGTTGTTGTGTCCTTCTCTGGCTTTGGTATTAGGGGAATGCTGACCTTGTAAAATGAATTTGGAAGTAGTCCCTCCTTTTCAATTTTTTTGGGAGAGAGTTAGAAAAGGTGCGATATCAGTTTTACTTTAAATTTTTGGTAGAATTCAGCAGCAAAGCTGTCAGCTCCTGGGCTTTTCTTTGCTGGGGGACTGTATATTATTGATTCAATCACCTAGTTTGTTTGGAATTTCTATTTCTTCATGATTTAATCTTGGGTAGGGTGTGTGTTTCCAGAAACTTACCTGTTTCTTCTAGGCTATCCAATTTGTTGGTGTATCATTGTTCATAATAGTCTAATATGATCCTTTGTATTTCTGTAGTGTCAGTTGTAATGTTTCCTTTCTCATCTCTGATTTTGAATCTTTGAATCTTCTCTTTTTTCTTGTCTAAAGGTTTATCAATTTAGTCTATCTTTTCAAAAAAGCAACTCTTCATTTTGTTCTTCTCTATTGTTTTTCTAGTCTCTATTTATTCTTATTTTATTAATTTCTGGGTTCTCTATTCTGTTCCATTGGTTTAGGTGTCTGTTTTCATGGCAGCACCATGCTGTATTGGTTATTATAGCTCTGTAGTATGATTTGAAGTCAGGTAATATGATTCCTCCAGTTTTGTTTTTTGCTCAAGATAGCTTTGGCTATTCTGGGTCTTTTGTGATGTCATATAAATGTCAGAATTATTTCTTTTCTATTTTTTTGAAGAACATCGTTGGTATTTTTATAGGAATTGCACTGAATCTGTGGATCACTTTTGGTAGTATGGGCATTTTAACAATATTCTTCTAATCCACAAACATGAAATGTCTTTTAATTTTTTGTGTCCTCAATTTTTTGATCAGTATTTTATAGTTTCATTGTAGAGCTCTTTCACTTATTTGATTAAGTTTATTCCTAGGTATTTTATTTGTAGCTATTGTAAATGGGATTATTTTCTTGATTTCTTTTTCAGATTGTTCATTGTTGGCATATAGAAATGCTACCATTTTTTTGTTTGTTCATTTTGTATCCTGAAATTTTATTGAATTTATGTATCAGTTCTAATAGGTTTTTTTTGGTGGAGTCTTTAGGTTTTTCCAAATATAAGATCATATAGTCTGCAAGGAAGGATAATTTGACTTCCTGTCCAATTTGGATGTTCCTTCTTTCTTTCTTTTGTCTGATTGCTCTAGCTAGCACTTCCAGTCCTATATTGAATAACAGTGGTGAAAGTGGGCTTCCTTATCATGTTCCAGATCTTAGAGGAAAGGCTTTCAGTTTTTGCCCATTCAGTATGTTACTAGCTGTGGGTCTGTTTTATATGGCATTTATTGTGTTGAGGTATGTTCCTTCTATACTCCGTTTTATGAGGGTTTTTAATTATGAAAGGATGCTGAATTTTATCAAATACTTTTTTCAGCATTAATGGAAATGATAATTTTTTTCTTCATTCTGATATGATGTATCACATTGATTGATTTGCATATGTTGAACCATCCTTGCATCCCTGGGATAAATCCCACTTGGCCATGATAAATGATCTTTTTAATGTGTTGTTGCTAGTATTCTGTTGAAGATTTTTGCAACCATGTTCATTAGGGATATTGGCCTGTACTTTTCCTTTTTTTGATGTGTCTTTGTCTGGTTTTGATATAAGGGCAATACTGGCCTCATATAATAAGTTTGGAAGTATTCTTTGCTCCTCTATTTTGCAGAATAGTTTGAGTAAAATTGGTATTAGTTCTTCTTTAAATGTTTGGTAAAATTCAATAGTGAAACCATCAGGTCCTGGGCTTTTCTTTGCTGAGAAGCTTTTTACTATGACTTTGATCTTATTACTTGTTATTGATCTATTCAAGTTTTGGATTTCCTCATGGCTCAATCTTGGTAAGTTGTATATGTCTAGAGTTTATCTATTTTCTCTAGGTTTTGCAATTTATTGACATATAGCTGCTCATAGTAGTCTCTAAGGATCCTTCTAATTTCTGTGGTATCAGTTGCAATGTCTCTTTTTTCATCTCTGATTTTATTTGTTTGAGTCATCTCTTTTCGTCTTGGTCTGGCTAACTGTTTGTCAGTTATCCTTTCAAAAAACCAACTTTTCATTTAATCGATCTTTTGTATTGTTTTATAAATTTCATTTATTTCTGCTCTGATCTTTATTATTTCTTTGCATAATTTGGGTTTGGTTTGCCCTTGTTTTTCTAGTTCTTTCAGATGCATCATTATGTTGTTTGTTTGATGTTTTTCTACCTTTTTGCTGTAGGAGTTTATTGCTATAAAATTCCCTCTTAGTACTGCTTTTGCTTGATTCCATCCACTTTGGTATGTTGTGTTTCTATTTTCATTTGACTCATAATATTTCTTAACTTCTTTCTTATTCATTGATCCACTGATCATTCAGGAACGTATTGTTTAATTTCCATGTGTGTGTATAGTTTCCAACATTCCTCTTATTGATTATTAGTTTTATTCCATTGTGGTCAGAGAATATACTTGATATGACTATTTTTTGAATTTAAGACTTTTTAATGTCCTAAGATATTACCTGTCCTTGAGAATAATCTATGTGCTGAGGAGGAGAATGTGTATTGTGTTCCCACTGGATGAAATGTTTTATAAATATCAAGTCCATTTGGTCTATACTACAGATTAAGATCAATGTTCCTTTATTGATTTTCTGTCTGAACTATCTGTCCAATGCTGAAAGTGGGGTGTTGAAATCACCAGCTATTTTTGCATTGAGGTCTATCTCTCTGGCTCTAATAATTTTTTGCTTTGTATATCTGCATGCCCCAGTGCTGGGTGCATATGTATTTACAATTGTTACATTCTCTTGCTGAATTAATCCCTTTATAATTATATAATGCTAAATATAATGTTAAATTTCTCATTGTGCTCACTTACTGTTTTCCTCATTTACTTGTATTGTTTTTCTGTATTTTCTTGAAGTTCATTGAGCTTCCTTAAAAACAGTTATTTTGAATTCCTTGTCAGTGAGTTCGAACATCTCTATTTCTTTATGGTCAGTTAGCAGCATTTTATTTTGTCCCTTTGGTGATATCATGTTTTACTGATTGTTCTTGGGGCTGCGTATTGAGATATACACATTTGTAGAAGTAGGTACTTATTCCAGTCTTTGCAGATTGGCTTTGCTGGAAAAGCTCTTCAACAGTCCATTCAGAGATTTTGGACAGGCCATTAAGCTTGGTTCTGAATCGCAGGGTCACTACAGGGGTGGGGTATGCCCAAAACCTGGGGCTGCTGAGGCCTGCCTGCTGCTCTGGCCTGTCCAGATCCTATAGACACTGAAGTCAAGCCAGCGGTAGTACAACTGGGAGACCAACTCTGCCTCACAGGCTTGAAGTCTGGGACTGCAGGGTCCCACCCAGGACTGGGACTCAGTTTGTGGATACTACTCTGGAGTCTGGGGCTGTGGGTGCCTGCCAGCCTGCCTGATGCTGGATTTCGCTGTGGTGGGCCCAGGGTTGGGGTCCAAGGCAAAGTCCTGTTCTCACACCCCTCTCTTTCCCCCAAGTGGATGGTGTCTCTCTCAATGTTGTGATGGTTGGGGGAGGGGTGGTGCAGGTAATGTAAAATTCTCCTTTCTACCATTTTCAATGCATCTTTTATTATTATTGTGTTCCAACCAGTTACTCTGATCTCTCGCCTGGTTTACTTAGCTCTTGTGAAGGTATTACTATTTTAGCGCATGGATAGCTGCTCAAGTTGTTTCAGTTGGAGGGGGTATGATTACTGGATAGCACTATTCCACCAACTTGCTCCATCCCTCTTCTTCACAAATATTTTAAAAAACATGTGGTACGCAATAAATAACTGATATCAATACAAAAAGTTTAGAGGAAGTTTTTAGATTTCAGAATATAAACAGTCTGTGGAAAAAACTAGTCACTGAAAGATGTATTATAATTTTGTATTTTAAGGAAATTTCACTGCATGTTATATGTGGTTGCAATTTAAAAGGGCATTTAGAATTCCCAGAATACATATTTTGTGGTCATACATATGCTAGTTGTGGCTCTAGTACTGGGTGATATCAAAGTTTTTGCTGTTTCCTGAATGCGGGCTTTGGAGTTGAAATCTCAGCTCTCTCCTTTATTGATGTGTGATTTTGGGTAACTAATGGAAACTTTTTGAGGTTCAGTTTTTCTTTTTCTAATGATTTGAATATGAAAGTAGTGACTGTATTACATAGTTGTTGAGAGGATTAAAAAGTGAATGTAAAAGCATATATATATGTCCTATGTTTTCTGTTTGTACTTGCTGGTCTACCCAGGCAAGAATGTGTGTTGAAACAGGAGAAAGAAATCATTGTGCCCAGTCCTGGAGTAAGGAAATATAGTGTAATTCTAGCTCGACTCTGCCCTAACCAGGTGTTTAATTTTGGACTAGTTGCTTGACCTCTTTGGGTGTCAGTTTCTCATCTGTCAAATGAAGAAGTTTTACTACAGGATCCCTAAGGTGCTTTTTTAGCTCCAACATCTTTGCCATTATGATAGGAGCCAAAAAGAGAGGGCTCGTTAAGGGAAACTGAAATCATGTAACTGGGCTTCAATCGCAGTTCAGTCAGTTAAGCTCTCCAAGGCCAGCGTGATTTCTTGCATTGCTTCTTCCTTCAGCCATCATTTCCTTCTACAATCCCATGGGCCTTCACCCTTACCAAGTAACCTTCCCTGAAAGCAAAGTAGACACAGCCTACCCCAAGTCATCACATTTGCTGATATCTCTGTCACTTTGGGTTGTTAAAGGACAGCAGAGGCTGGTGATCAGATTTTGCCCACACTCTAGATATTCTAACACTCTGAGGAAGAGGAGAGAGTTCTTTATATACTCCCCAATATTAGTCTCTAAGTAGTTTCAGGGCTCTCAGTCTTACGGATTTTTAGATACTTCTAATATTCTCCCTGGGAGGCTTCAATAGTAATAAACATCTCCAAGAAGGCAGAAATGGTTTTTGTTTTAGATTTTGTTTAAAAGTTACCCAGGAGATTTTCAACCTATAGACCCTGCTGCTAGCCCTAACTGCCAATGTCTCCATGCTCCACTTTAATCTTTCCTGATGAGTGCTGTCACATTGATAACCCCAGACCTGCAGAGAGCTTCCTGTCCCCTTACTTGCAGAACTTTGGCTAGTTCAAGAGCTCTTAGGTGTAAATGATGCAATTCAGCTCTAGACACTTCCTATGCGTTTCAAAGCTCAAGGCTTAAATGGAACCAAGGCTGTTTGGATGATTCTGAAAAGAGTTCAGTAAATGGGATAATAAGTGTTTTTGTAAACTGGAGCCTCTCTACTGGTCTTACTCCAGAGGCCACATCCACCCGTTCAGAAGGTGTCTTTAGGTGGCACTTGATATAAAATAGAGCACCAGGGCGGTATCATATTTCCAAAGCATAGTGTTCTCTTATATCTTTTTATCTGAACAGTGAATACAAGAGAAATGGGAATTTTAAATGAGTTAGCTAAAATACTACTTTCAGTAAAAAGTAAAATGCATTGAAGTAAAAATAGAGTAAAAAGTAAAATGCATTGAAAATCACATATTTTTAGGCAAACAATATTCTCTCCAAGAAACAAATTGTCAAGTTCCTTAACATAATCATCTAGTCATCAATTATTAGGAGGGGTATATTGAAGATGGAAAGCATATCTCTTGGTGGCATGATGTCAGGAGAAAAACAATCTCTAAAGGAGATTTGGAGCAGTCATCTGCAGTATGGACAGAAAATGAGAAAATGGATTTAAGTTTTTTAAAAAATCCACAATAATTAATGGGCATATCTAGAAATTTTTTCCAGAAAAATGTAAATTATAAACACTGAATATATTAGCAACAAAGAAAATGTTGTGAATTTTTTTTTAAAAAAGGAAGTCATGTGATAATGTACAAAAGGGAAAAAAGATGTGAATTATAAAATGTTATAAAGAGTTTCAACAGATGAGGTTGTTCAGAGCCTGGAAAAGGCAGATTATGAGGAAGTACAAGACCCTACAATGTCTCCTTTGCTTCGGCAGCTGCACCCCTCGTCAGCCAGCCAACAGGCTTGCATTATTGAGAGCCCACTTTGTGATCTGCACTGTGCTCTGGGTTTTTACATTTGCTGGAAGAGCTTACGGCCCAGAAACCCCCAAATGAAGATTCACAATTTTCTCCAAATTGTGCCTTTCTATCAAGTTGTGTTTGTCTCTTCCTTTCCTAGGAAATTCTAGATGAGTCTTGTAATGCATGCGCGCACACTTGCATACAAAATGTGAGCTATTTCAATCCTCGGGCTGGAAGTCATGTTCTGCTACTTCAATACTAAATACTCCCCTGTCACTTCATTGTGAAGCCAAGAAAAAAGGTTTAATAGCCATTTTTTTCATGCCTTGTGCTGCTGGGGCTGAGATAAAATGAGGGTAAATCAGATTCTCTGCTGAGTAAATCCTCTTATCCAAACAGGCTCTCTTCCTTTGACTCTGAGTGTATGAGTTTATTCAGAAGGCCTGAGGCAGTAGTTAGCCAGGGTTTCCAGGTGGTCAGAACATACCCTGCAGATTTCTTTCAAGCATAGACTGCCACTTTGGGCTAAACGGGGACACAGTAAATCCCCCATGCTCTAACCTTTCCTGAAGATCTGGGACAGCAGTGGCCTTGGCCTTTTGCGATTTATCCCATGTGGCCGTGTCTCAATATGATGCTGATCTTTTCTGACAGCAAAGCACAAAAGGAGAAATAGGAAATGACAGGTTGAATATACAGCAGAGTCTTTCCCCTCAAGCATTTCTTGTGCATCCCTGCAATTGTGAATGGGGTCATTAGTGCACATCTGCAGACGCGCAGCAGTGCAGGGTGCTAGGTTCTTCCATGGTCAATGTGCTTGAGGGAGCACAGAAAACCAAGGACAGACAAGTCCACATTGAGCTACACTTTTGAGATTTGATGTTAGTTAGTGTCTCACAGATCACCCAAGAGGCGTCACGCTTCATTATACTCCATAGAGAACAGGAAATGGTTTTAAGAAGGAATAAACAACTGTGCAGTTCTGTGAAACACTTAATCCGGCACAGAGGTGCAAAATCAAACTCCAGAAAGAGAGTCATGATTTGGGAGTTTGGAAGCCTCCAAATGTTAGCTTCTGATGAGAATGTTCATTTTTCAGTTTTCATGGAATCTGAGAACTGGCAGGTGCTTAGAGATCATTTAGCCTAACCATTTCTTTTGGGTACAGATGAGGAAACTGAACCCACAGAAGGAACATGGCTTATCAGAGGTCACACAGTTACTGGGGGCAAAGCTGTGACATGAGACCTGCCTCTCTAGTCTTATTAAACCTGGGAAAAGATGACTGCATTGTGAGGAGAGTGGAGGATGCATACTCAGAAGCAGGAGTGTGTGCTGAGGTGGGCACTTGGGAGCTGCAACAGGTCATACCTCACCAGGATAGGACAGGAGAAGTGAATGCAACTCCTTGTTCCCAGGAAACTGTTCCCATGAAACTTCCCTGAGCATTATCAGAAAAGGTCTTCTGTTTTCTGTCTTGCTGCTGCTCATGTATTTTTAGGTCTTGAGGGAAAATCAAGCGCCATTAGCAGGGTAGCAAGGCCACGCTGCTCTTTGCCATTGACCTATCAGCTGCAATCAGCCCTGGTTCCTACCAATGCCCCTCATTTGCGAGGAAAATAAGTGGAACCAAATGGGTGGCTGTCTAATCATGTACAGAACCAGGTGGAACCTTCAGCAAATCATCTAACCTACTTGAGTCTCAACAGTCTCAACTCAAAATGAAAGAAATTGGACCACACACTTTCTCTATGTTCTTTGGCTGTTCTGAGGATAAATTAGGCCATGTCTGCAGAATATAAGTATATTAAAAGATGTTATTCTTGTGACCATCATTTATGTAATATATTTGGGGGGTTTGTCAGTATTATCAAAGGAATGAAAAAGCTGAATCGGGGTTTCATAATCGAGAACTAGAGTAGAACTGTAGGTGCTTAATGCTCTGTCCACTGACCAAATCACATTGACTTCCATGGGAGCAGTTGTACTACATTTCAATTTGTGTCATTTGGGGAAAATGAATTAATGGAAGAGATAAGATCAAAAGCTGTAGCCTGGAGAAGAGCTTCTGCTGAAAATCTTAAAATAAAGAAGACCTATCACTTTTACTCTGAGAGGAGAGAAAATTCTTTGTAAAGTTTTGGTGATGTATGTTTTTATTAGAATTGCCATTTTCAAGTCTTATTAAAGTTTGGTCATTTTGTAATTATTGCCAAAAGAAATGGACTATATAATTTGTTTTAGAGGTATGTCTTTGGTTTAAAACCAATATACATTCATGTAGAATTTGGAAAGAAATATATAAAAGTATAAATGAAGAACAAAAACTAACATTACCATTCAGAAATAATAGTTGAAAATGTTTACTTTCTTTCTATTCCTTTTATAATTATAAATTTGGGATTATACTTGCAACATCCACAATGTATCTTCTTAGGATATGTTAAATATTCAGATCCACAGACTACATTTGGTGCTGGTCCACTTGGAAGAAACCACAGCTTGCCGGCAGGGTAGCATTGCCTGCTTATCTTTAGCACATGTCCTTGCAGTGGTCCAGCAGAACAATACAGCTCAGGTGAATGGGGGCTACATACATTTCAGAGGATGCAGGAATTACCCTGGCTGAAAAGCCACATGCCCTGTAGGAGTCAATATATGGTGTAACAACTCCATAGGCATAGTTTCCGGGGATCCACAATAGATATGCCAAGTTACCAGAGTCACTGTTATTGGAAGTCATAGCAGAAGCACTCTCTCAGGTCATAACAGTTATCTGAGAACAGATGCAATTCACCAATAAGGGCTCAATTTTACCTGGTGACATAATTGATACATATTATCTTTTTCTAGGGGAAACAGGCAGAAAATTGTGAGGTCAGATTCTCTTACAGAAGAGAAAAAGATCTTACCCACAATACTGCATACAATTTTTTGGCCTTAAAAAATCCTAATATTAAATTACAAACATGTTCCATCATTACTTAAGGTGTTTCAAAAACATGGCTGGCACATAATGTATTAAACCAGTCTGGTATTGTGTATTTAGCTAGTTCCTAGTTTCTAATTATTAAAACTATTACTGACATGAACATCCCTATATACAAATCTTTGTATTTTTATAAATCTAGAAAATGTAATTAATGACTGGGTCTGAAGTTTATTAAGCTCTTAATACATCTTTAACAAACTGCTCTTCAGAAAGAAAATATTGGTTTATGCTTTGACTAGAATTACATGAAAGTCTCTACATTTTGTAAACATAGACTAAGTTCTTTGAAAACATTTGCCAATTTTATATGAGAAAAATGCTGTATCCTTTAAAAAATGATTTTTCTTTGGTTAGTGATGAATTTAGAAATACTTATATGCACACAGTCTATTGATTGCTGGTTGTTAGTTGTCTATTCTTGTCCTCTCTCATTTTGATTTTGGGAAGCTCATCTTTTTAAGTATTAAGGGTATTTACATTTGAGTCTCCTATGTGGCAAACTTTTTTGCAGTCTTTACTTCTGATGGAAATTTTTATTCTTAGGTAGGCAAATCTACCAGTTTGTTTTTATATGCTTGCATCAACACTGCTAAGTGAGTTATTGTTACTATTCAGAGTGCTTTTGTGGGTATTTATGTGGACTCACTTTCTAAGCGCTTTACATACATATTTTTCTTGTTTGTAATATGCACGGAAAAGTTTTTCATTTATGAAAAGGCCTTGAAACATTTTATATTGTTTGAGATTTCTTATTCCTCAAATGTTTGAGGAAAATTATTCCACAGCTGTGTGTCCTGAGTACTATTTTTTGAGAAATATTTTGGCATGTTTAAAATTTTATTCTGTTGGCATTCATATATTCAGCTTTGCTACATCTTTTAAAAAATTTGATATAAGGCATCACTAGTAAATATCTTCATAGAGTTTTCAATTTTATTGAGATGTAAGCATTTATTGGCACAGAATTGTATATACAACTTAAATAAGTCTTAAGTTTATATTTTCATTTTTAAGTATATGTTTTCTTAACTGTATTTGTATGTCTGACTTTCTATTATAGACTAGCCAGGCAGATGTACATTTAATTTATTAATTCTATTTTCTGACTAACTTTCTGCCACAATTTTTATTAATCCATTTCCTTCCCTTTTTTATATTTTTTTAAAATGTAAAACAATCTCTATAATTATAAAAAGTAACTAAAGGAGAACCTAGGCAACGATAAATGAAATTTCCTGAGACTGGGAAGAAGAGAGGAAATATGTCAGTAAGTCAATGGATCACTCAGGGATGCCTGTCTGAATACACAGGAAAGCGATATGCTTATGAGACAGGAAGAAACCAGGACCCAATTCTAGACTGAGCCCACAGCCTCCAGGTAGAGCCACCATGAAACCATACCAGACAGAACCGAGTCTGGCCTCCTAGTTTTACGTGGGGTGTGGAGTGTGTCACATTGTGAGGTACATGGAAAGGTGTCCTGTATGCTTTCTCTTATTCTGTAGGCTGGTAAGAGACATACAGAGATTACCCTTCCTCTGAGGAATGGGCATATCTCCCTTCACTCTAGAATTGGAGAGAAGAGGTCTTAATGAGGGTTCTCAGTGGAATTTCATTCCTTTCAGAAGTAGGAAGTTGGTCTGTGATTCCAAAGAGGGCAAAGAGCAGTTCCAGCCAGGTTTTTTGTTTCCCTGTTCCTGAACACTTCGTAAATGCCAGGCACTGCGCTAAGTCATTTCTAAGCCCCACAGCAACGCATGAGGTAAGCATTCAGTTGTCCTTATTTTGTATGGGAGGGAACAGTGAGGTGACTTGCCCAAAGTCAGGATGTGAATCCAGGTGTGTTAGGCAGCAAAGCTTGTTTCTTAGTCCTTCTGATACATCATGTTGTGGCTCATCAATGCTGATCTTAGTCCTTACAGCACAGTCCTATCATTTAAGGGAGAGCTTTGTAGAGCCTGGGGTCAATGAGCCAAATGAATTTATTATGCCCATATTATTTATCTTCAAAATTCTATTCCATTTCTCATCTGAAAGCAAGCAAAACATTGGCACAAAAAACTAATATTCGAACTGAATATCTAAGCAATTGCTATATTCCTCGGCATGCCAGTCAGTATTTTTATTACTGCCGAATAGAGGGCAGGTAGGGGAGGAGGGAGCGTTCAGGGAGTCAGCTGTTAGAAGAGAAGGAGGGGAATGGGAACTAAGATCACATCCTGACTAATCTGACCTTATGGCATATTTAGGCAGAAACACTTAATTTAAAACTCCCCCAAATATCATTTTAAAAAATAAAAATTAAAATGTCTAAGTGTTAAATCACTTGACCAGGTAACACAGATCTGCAAACTTTATGCTGTTAAGCAATCTCTGTAGAGGACTGTGTGGCCCATTTTTTGCCTCATGAAAGGGAAAATGAAATATATGAAGGTAAAGTTGCAACTTAATTTAATGTGATGTAATGTGAACAGAGCCAGAGCCATCAAGAATGAATCACAGCAAACTTCAGGTTAAGCAATTTCTCTCATCTCTGGTGTCTACGGAAGTTCAATGAGAACAGCAGGAAATATCGGCCTGAGGGATTCTATTCTACTCTAATCTCAGCCATTATATCAGTGCCAGCACTTACATTCAGAATCTCTTGTGAATACTTGCAACTCATAGCATATTTTTTCAAGAGGACAATAGCTGTTCTTAACACATTAGCCAATCATACCTGTTGATTTATAACATTCTCACATGCTTTTTAAAAAAAAACATCTTTTTAAAATTCAGATACCGAAAAACAAAAGCCACCCATACAAGACAAGACCTATGTTAATGAGTTTTTCTGCAGAGCTCCATTCACTCTGTTTTGGCTGAAATAGGATGCCACTGATAAAACTGCTGGTGAATGCTCAGGAAGAGAAGAAAGAGGAGAAAAAGCAGACAGAAAATATTCTTGGGTATCTGACAATAAAGAGGAAAGTCTATTTCTGTACTTACAATAGCAGTTGGGGTGGCAGCCAGCACACAATAGAGCACCAGAGGGGTGATGAAGCTTTCTTCCTCTGTCCCTGGGTAAGGCTTCATTAAGTCTCCGTCCTGACAGAAGAATCCTTGGATATGCACCTGAAAAGTGTCAGTGCATTCGAAGTAGTAGGCAAGCAGCACTGTCCCAGCCATGATGACAAGCTGAAAATACAGCATGGCCACACAGAGACATTAGCAGGGCTTCGGAGCAGCCCTTGCCCCTCAGAGCACACTCCCTCCATCACCCCAGCAGCGGCTCTCCTGATATTGGTATTGGCGAGTGTGTGCGTGCCAGGCGCAGCGTGCTCTGGGAGTGTGTGCTTGCTTGTCTGCCTTGTAACATCTGTTCTATAAACCTTCCAGCAAATAATGAGCAGCTCCCATCTGAAAGGCAGATCCCAGCCAGGCTTGTAGAGAGCTTCAGCCCCTGCTGCCACCCTTTCAGAGTCTCAGAGTATGCACGGGAACCAAGGCACTATAGCCATTTAGGACAGAGGTGAAAAGTCAAAAGGCAGTGGCAAAAGAGTTGTCAAGACATAGATGTGAGAACTGTTCATGAGCAATTTCATATAATATTACAGGTAGACTTACCTTATGAAATATGAAAGGTAGGTAAACCACGAGTAAACGAAGGAATGGACAAATGAAGAAATTAACAGGAAAGCTAAATCCTAGATGGGTTAAGGGAAATTTCGACACCCTAAGTTATTGGCAGGTATTCTACATCAGTCATAACTTTTATCTTTTTCCAAAATGGTTTCTGCCAGTAAGTCAAGGACTTTGCTGATGATCGTATCTTATTATAGAAATATAGCCTTCGTAAGATTTAGACAGACATAAAAAAAAAAAGACACAGTTATCCTTTTGTTTTGACTCAGATGTCCTAGATACTCACCGAAGTTTAGATATAGTTTTTAGCAGGTATGTGGAACTGAGGGGATATGGAAATGTAACATGTTTTTCCATTCATATTTGGAAATCACCAATGCCAAGATAAGATGGTGAATAAAGGTAGATAGAAAATACATTTGAGGTCATGAAATTACAGAAACTTAAGCTGGGGGATATCTTAGAGTTCTTCCTGTCTGACACCTTTATTTCATAGATGAGGAAAGTGGAACTGACCACTGCCTGATTATCCAAAAATTAAACTAAACATGTGCTTAGATTGAGCATTAACAAAACAGGCAAACTAAAATGAAGAAAATATATTTTTAAATGTTGATTTGTTTAAAGGTATCAAAGTTATGAAAAAAAATCAGAACTTGGTAGGACATCTTTAGATATCTATGGCTTAAAGTTGTTTGTATTTTGAAGTACATATAAGGCAGTAAAGGGAAATCATAATCTTTTCAGGGCTTAAGAAGACTAAAGTTCTTATTTCAGCCCCAGAATGACTAATCCAAGGCCACACAGCTGGTTAGTGTGAAAGCCAGGACTAGAAACCCACATTTCCTGATCTGTAGGAAAAAAGCAAAAGCTGAGCTGTATCAGGATCTAAAACTGCATCTTATACGAAAAGGTAGAGAGTGATGGGGGAGGCAAAGTAGCTAAACTCTAGCACAGAGAGGCAATTTTTGGCATCCTCATCCATTTTCCTATCCATTGCTTTAGCCACAGCATTGAAGCACAGCCTTTACCCTCTGCCCCACTATAAACCATTCTCTGGAACCAGCACAGCCTCTACTTCTGGGATAGTAATTCTGCAACTCTTCCATACAGTAGCAGATTAGCATCATTTTCTTTTTTCTTTTTTTTTTTCACATCAAAGATTTTATTTTTTTTATGTATATTTTTATTTTACTTTAGGGTACATGTGCACAATGTGCAGGTTTGTTACATATATATACATGTGCCATGTTGGTGTGCTGCACTCATTAATTCATCATTTACATTAGGTATATCTCCTAATGCTATCTCTCCCCCCTCCCCTACCCACAACAGGCCCCGGTGTGTGATGTTCCCCTTCCTGTGTCCAAGTGTTCTCATTGTTCAATTCTCACCTATGAGTGAGAACATGTGGTGTTTGGTTTTTCGTCCTGGCGATAGTTTGCTGAGAATGATGGTTTCCAGCTTCATCCATGTCCCTACAAAGGACATGAACTCATCATTTTTTATGGCTGCATAGAGACTCTGTCTCCAAAACAAAACAAAACCAGACAGAAGTTTGTACTTGAGACACATTATAACAGAGATACCAAAGAGGAAAGGCATCAAAAGAGGAGAAATTGGAAGGACAGGGAAGATTCTTAATTCAAATGATCCACCCACCTCGGCCTTCCAAAGTGCTAGGATTATACAGGCATGAGCCACTGCACCCAGCTTCAAGTACAAATTTCTAACCATCTTATCTAAAGGTGTTTACCTTTTAGCTACATCCATTGCTACCTTTCCTTTTATTCCAATTAGGCCACAAACCATCTCTTCATTCACTAGCCCTTACACATGACTTGTTTCTGACTGTTTATGGATTACATTCTTCTAGTATCTAGCGTTTTCTGCTCCCAGAGATGTGGATCTCCAATCACAACTTTGGACTGTCCAGTAATCTCTGGACACTTCCATGTGTTTTTCCATGCTTGGAGTTGTTTATTGGGGCCACATGTAAATCACCAACCTTTATGCCAGCCTTCTCTGCTGTTTGAAGTAATTGGTTTATTTATTTTCCTTATAGCAACAGAGAAGAGACTTGGATAAATATGTTTCCTGAAAGATTGAGAGAGATACTCCAAAGCTACCCCTACTAATAGGTGCTCCTGATTGCAGCTAGTTTATAAAATCAAAGCTATGAAGTTACTGTTTCTTTTATGCTTGACTTGTTAAGTGAGTTGACCTGATGGCAAGGAACATAGCCAGTTGACTTGATGTTTTGAAGATGAAATAACACCAGGCTTCCAACAGTTTTAAGGCTCTGTCTCTGGAGTTCCGTCTGTCCCCCTGCAAAGGGCTGATCTGGGATTTTTGTGTGTGTCATGTGTCTCATCCATGTGGCTGGAAACAATTTTGTCTCTCTTGGCTTCATCAGCTCTTGGGAGATACCTGAATGGGAATAGGCAAGATCTATGGGGGCTTCTGGATAAAAAAATAAAAATCAAAATGACATCTAGCTTCCTCTTTCGTAGGAAGAGGATTGTATTTTATGGGTATCTTTGTGCTACCACTTCCTTTTTCTAAAAAAAAGTGAAAATGAGGTAAATGAAAGCAAAAACTTATACATAGGAAAAGAACTCAAGACAAACACAAGGAATGGAAGCTCTTAAAACAGAACTATCTTAACACCAAATACACTGAAATAAATGAAGATCTAACAACAAAGAAAGCATTACATGCCTAAATTTGAGATCTATAGAACAAATCTTGAATAGTTGCCTAGCTGATTTAATCCCGGAAGCAGCATTCAGAGAGAACTGGATAAATTAAAAGTTTATAAAAATTTGCAGGACATAAAGAACAGAGAACCTTGGAGACCCAAAGGGTGGTAGTGGTAGGTGGGAGCTTCAGCAGCTTATGTGACAGAACTGACCACCCACCACGAGCATGAATTGGCTTGCCTTGGCTCTTCCCCCGAGCAGCCAGAAGCCAGAAACTCTTCCTTGTAATTTTCTTTTTCTTTATTTCTTTCTTTCTTTCTTTCTTTTTTTTTTTGGAGACAGGGTCTCATTCTGTCTTCCAGGCTGGAGTGCAGTGGCAGGATCTCGGCTCACTGCAACCTCCGCTTTCCCGGTAGCTGGGATTACAGGTGCATGCCATCACGCCTGGCTAATTTTTTGTATTTTTAGTAGAGACAAGGTTTCATCATGTTGACCAGGCTGGTCTCAAACTCTTGACCTCGAGTGATCCATCCATCTCAGCCTCCCAAAGTGTTGGGATTACAGGCGTGAGCCACCGCGCCCGGCCTTCCCTGTCATTTTCAAGCAATCCTCAAACTCCCTGGGAAGTCCCCCAATAATGCTATTTAGAGATGCACAGAAGCAGAAATAGAACAACTCAGATTTTGATTTCTAGTTGATTTTCTATTGAACATTCTCCTGTGACCTTTTTTTTTTGAGGCGGTGTCTCGCACTGTCGCCCAGGCTGGTGTGCAATGGCACAATCTCGGCTCACTGCAACCTCTGCCTCCCAGGTTCACACAATTCTCCTGCCTCAGCCTCCTGAGTAGCTGGGATTACAGGCGCACACCACCGCACCCAGCTAATTTTTTGTATTTTTAGTAGAGACGGGGTTTCACTATGTTGGCCAGGCTGGCCTCGAACTTCTGACCTCGTGATCCGCCTGCCTCAGCCTCCCAAAGTGCTGGGATTACAGGCTTGAGCCACCGTACCCGGCCTCCTGTGACCATATTTTTAAAGGAAACTGATGCACATACTGCAGGAACAGAAACAACACACATTGATTCTGTCTCCATGAGCAGAGAGATCCATCTCACTGCACTGATGATGCCACACAATTAGCCATCAGCATACTCCTTTCTTCCTCCCTGTCCTGAGATATGATTTATCACTGTCTATGTTTATGTCACTGGTGCCAGCTGGCACACTTGCTATCTCTGTTGCCTTCCTCAGCTCCATTTAGGAATGCATGGAGGGAGGCCATAATGTTGGTGTCACATGAGCAGATGGTGAGGCCATGCTGGGTGCAAGTACTGGTGGAAGGGTTGAAGATGTCAGTGTGAAAGAAGCAATTATGGCTGTGGGAGTATAACAAGGTGTAAGGAGCTCATGTACCAGGGACTTTCCTCAGCTGTTGCTTTCCAAGAATGACAATCCAATATAGCAGTAAAAAATGCATTAAGTGCTGATCATTCCACGAGGCTTCAGAAGGCAGAATCCAGCAATATCTGAAATTCAGCTTCCTGTGGTTAAAAGCACTGTGTTTCTACCAAGGCCCTTTGCTGGTTAAAGAAAAGTAAAAATGTCAAGAAGAGCAATAATTGTGAAGGTCACAAAGCTGAGAGAAGAGGATGAGAACCTTTTCCAACAGGCTGTTAAGTCTGGAGGAACTGTGGACCAATAATTTATATGTCCTGATACAAGCTGGGGAAACAGGGAATCAGATAATGATGGTGTGACTCATGTAAGCCTGTGTGTCCAGGGCAGTAGGACAGAGGCAAGAGTTTGGAATGAGAGTATACATGAAGCATCTTGTCTGAAGTGTAAAGGGCATCCTAGTGCTAGGTGATCAACAATCCAGTTTGTTCAGGGCTGAGGGGCTTCCTGGGGCACAGGACTTTCAGGGCTAAAACTAGGATGGCCCTGAGCAATCTGGGGTGACTAAACACAAACAATGAACCAAGCACAGACAAACCAGAGACAATATATCTGTCCCCAAAGAAGTTTCTCATTCTGGTTCGGCCATGAGCTATCAAAGCTAGTCAATCAGCAACTCTTCTTGTGAGCTGCCTCTGAACTCAGTCTAAGTGCTGTGAAGGTGAGGAATTCTCAGACATGCTCTCCAACCCCATGTAATTTGTAATCTACCTGGGGCATGCCCACCAACACAAGGAACAACAAGTCTTCTGTAGGAGGTTGTCTGCTGATCCCCAGTGGGAGTTATGCGTGGCTGCAGGTGCCTGGTGAACTGGTTGGGAGGGGACTTGATAGAAGGAGAACAATGGAAGGGGGGATATTGCATGAGGGAGAAGAGGATGCATGGGGAAGGAGAGGGCTGTGTGGTGTCTGCTTAGGGTATTGGTTTTGGCCCAGCTCCATCAATATAGATATTCAATTCCATAAAGCGAGGGGATAAAGGAAATGTTGGGCAGAGGGAGTATGACATCAGAGCTTAGGTGGTAAGAACTGACACGGTTGTGACATGAAAGCAATGTCTTAGCCAGGACACCAGGGAATAGCACACTTTAAGGATTTGGATGTTTTTTGGTATTGGGAAAAAGCATCCTAGTCACAAATGTCAATAGTTGCACACAAGGGCTGGGGTGGGAAACCCTCAAGTAGCATTCACAGAACTGGAAACCAATGTAGTAGGCTAGAGGGGAAGCACATAAATTGACAGCCCCCATGAGACCTCACTGGGGAGCCTTAGAAATAAGTTTGACCCCCTGAGAGGGGATGGAGGTCCTCCATATACAACAGACACAAGAGCCAAGGAGGTGGAGGAAGGAGAGAGAAGGAAGAAGAGAGGGAGGAAGAAAAGGAGAAGGAGACAGAGATGATAATGTTATATTGTGCATGTCCCAGGAACTGTTTTAAACACCTTACGTAAATTAACTCTTCATCTGCCCAACCATGGTGGGTGGTAAGTACATTATTATTTCCATTTTACATTTGAGGAAACAGGCACAGACAGATTGCATGAGGTCACAGAGCTCACAGGAGTAAACCTTGGATGATTACTATAAATATCTCTCTCCACTCAAATTTGTGTGGCCTAGGGGAAAGTCAGGTTACAAATATAAGTCAGCAGAATATTAAGAACTAAACTATGTTACATACTTGGACACTTTAAATGTTTCCAAGTGTCAGTTTTCTCATCTATATGAAGGTTAATAATCGTCTCACAAAAATGCAGTGAGGTGTGTTTATGTATTCCTATTTTGTTCCAAAAATCAGCTTTCATCAAATAAAGTAAGCTAGCATCAGCAAGAAGTTGGAATGGAAGCAGGAAGGAAATAAATATGGTGATATAAAATAGAGGCAGGAATTACATGCTTCATTCTAAATTGTCTAACAGTCAATGCAATAAGGAAATGGTGGTCAATATCTATAAGATCAAAAGCAAACCAATGGTTAAAGGATAAGCAGAATACTTCTGGTATAGTGACCAGACAGGAGTTCTTCCTTTGGGTTCTTGTAAACAACGTAACAGGATAAACAATGATTCAGTGGTGAGTATCATGGTGCTGTTATTTTTTTAAAATTTTTCTTTTTTTAAATTATACTTTAAGTTCTGGGATACATGTGCAGAATGTCCGGGTTTGTTACATAGGTATACATGTGCCGTGGTGGTTTGCTGAACCCATCAACCTGTCATGTACATTAGGTATTTCTCCTAATGCTATCCCTCCCCCAGGCCCCTACCCACTGACAGGCCCTGGTGTGCGATGTTCCACTCCCTGTGTCCAGGTGTTCTCATTTTTCAACTCCCACTTATGAGTGAGAATATGCATTGTTTGGTTTTCTGTTCTTGTGTTAGTTTGCTGAGAATGATGGTTTCCTGCTTCATCCATGTCCTTGCAAAGGACATGAACTCATCCCTTTTTATGGCTGCATAGTATTTCATGGTATATATGTGCCACAATTTCTTTATCCAGTCTATCATTGATGGGCATTTGGGTTGGTTCCAAGTCTTTGCTATTGTGAACAGTGCTGCAATAAACATACATGGGCATGTATCTTTATAGTAGAATGATTTATAATCCTTTGGGTATATACCCAGTAATGGGATTGCTGGCTCAAATGGTATTTCTGGTTCTAGATCCTTGAGGAATCACCACACTGTCTTCCACAATGGTTGAACTAATTTATACTCCCACCAACAGTGTAAAAGCATTCCTATTTCTCCACATCTTCTCCAGTATCTATTGTTTCCTGATGATACTGTTCTTAATATGAGACCTCATATCAACTTAATATAGGTTTCATATAAGCAAAACTCACAAAAACAAGACTCTGAAATAGAATGGAAGAGGTAGGCATTATGATTCAGCTGCAGTTGAACTTGAGAGAGACAGCATAATGAAAGGTTAAGAGTACAGGACAGATTGCCTAGGTTGGAAACCAGCTGTGCTGCCTACTAGGTGTGTGGTCTAAATTTTCGTGCCTTCATTTGAAAAACTGGGTTAATAATACTATAGTACCTAATGCTTCAGATTATCATGAAGATTAAATGAGACTGTGTAACAAGTACTTAGAGCAGTGTCTGACTCAACAAAAATAGTTTCCTAGAAGAGTAGATAGACTGTGTATCTTTCAAGACTCCTTCCTTGGTATAGTTTTTCTCAGTTTAGTTTCTAAAAACTAATGGGCAGCAGTGAATTAGAGACTATTTTTCTAGTAAGTCTCCAGTTAGTTAAATACAGAGCTATATCTTTTTTTTTTTAACTTTTAAGTTCAGGGGTATATGTGCAGGATGTACGGGTTTGTTACATAGGTAAATGTGTGTCATGGGGGTTTGTTGTACAGATTATTTCATCACGTAGGTATAAAGTCTAGTATCCATTATTTTTCCTGATCCTCTGCCCTCCAGTAGGTTCTAGTGTGCATTGTTCCCCTCTATGTGTCGATGTGTTATCATTTAGGTCTCACTTATAAGTCAGAACATGCAGTATTTGGTTTTCTGTGTCTGTGTTAGTTTGCTAAGGATAATGGCCTCCAGCTCTATCCATGTTCCGGCGAAGGACATGATCTCATTCTTTTTTATGGATGCATACTATTCCATGGTGTATGTGTTCCACAGTTTATTTATCCAGTCTATCATTGTTGAGCATTTAGGTTGATTCCATGACAGACCTATATCTTTTAATTAAAGCAATTAAAGTGTGGTTAAGAAGGACATCCTCTTGTGAAAACTGAGGGACTTCAAATGTACCAGTGTGTATATGAGAATTCATCCCCTCTTCTTTAAGGACTAAAGAGGTGCCCACAGGCAAGGATATGTAGACGAAATGTGATCATCCAGTCATTCAACTAATATTGAGTGTCTACTATACACAGACATCAATAATACTTAGTTAAAAAAACTGAGCAACAAAAATGTTAAAATAGCCATGGTCTTTGGACTCATGGGGTTTTCTGTCAGGGAAGACAGATATTATAAAAGTAAGTCCAAAGAAATAATAATAATGACTCTTACTGATTGCCCATGTAATCAGCTATGTAACTTTAAATATATTATCTTACATGATACTTAACACTACTCTGTGAGGTATAATGAGTTACCTCAATCTGAACCTCTGGAGCCATTTAACTGTTCTTTTTACACTGAAAACCTGCAATTAACACAATGACATGATGTATATAAAAAGCTTAGTACAATGCCTGGCACTTGATAAGTACTCAGCTCTTTTTCTTGCTTTTAAATTTCTATTTGCTCTTCCTTTTCAGTGCTTTTTTACTTTGGGGTGATAGTAGAGGTTGACTGAGGTCTCCTCTTCCTCCATTCTTCTTTCTTAACTATCTGAAAACATTGTTGCTTTAATTTTCCCTTTTCTTCAGCCTGGTCTATAAATGGTGGTACCCACCCAGGATCTATCTTTAACCCCTTTGTCATTTTCTTTCTATGTTCTCTTCTAGGGAGATCTCATCTCTTTTCGTGGCTTCCATTCTTATATTGATTCCATTGACTCTCCTATCATCATTTGTAGCTCTGGGTTTTCTCCTGACCACCAACTTGATGTGTTCCATAGGTACTCCAAATGCCACAAGTCTAAACTGGAACTCATTATTTCTCCTCTCCCCAGGCTGCAGCTTCTCTTGAGTTCCCTATCCTGGTAAATCCAACGACCATTCTCTCAGTTACACAGGCTAGAAATCTCAGTGTCATCTTAGACTCCTCCTTCCCCTAGCTTTCTCTTCACGCCATACCTGGTCAGTTGCCAAAGTCTTACTGAAGGGTCTCCTTACATTTATCTCATTTATGCAAACTGCCACTGCCACCTTCAGGCTTCCACATTCTCTCACCTGCACTTTTGAAATCTTGTCCAACCTGCTTTTGCTGCCTTTGGGATCTCAACCTCTCCGTGCCATCATTTACCCTGCTGCTAAAGAGTTAACCATCCTAAGGTATAGCTATGATTATATCTGTATACTCCTCCAAAATCTTCAGTGATTACTTTGTATGGGCTGAATTTTTGTGTTCTCCCCAAATTCATATTTCAAAGCCTAAATCCCCAATGTGATGGTATTTGGAGGTGGGGTCCCAGTCTCATGAATAGGATTAGTGTTCTTAGGAGACATGAGAGAGCTGATCTCTCTCTCCTGGCCTCAGTGAGGTTATAGCAAGGAGGCAGTATGAAACTAAAATGAATCTTGGGACCCCAAAATCACTAAGCCAAAGGGAAAAGTCAAGCTGGGAACTTCTTAGGGAAAACCTGTCTCTCATTCCATTTCTAAAAAACGATTAAAAAGCTCCATGCCTCCCTCACAAGGAATTGCCTTGTGGACAAAGGACAGACAGAACTCAAAGTCATCCCCCTGCTGACTGAGATAAATGCATATCCGATTGCTTCCTCTGGAAAGGCTAACCAGAAACTCAAAAGAATGCAACCATTTGTCTCTTATCTACCTGTGACCTGGAAGCCCCCTCCCTGCTTCAAGTTGTCCCGCCTTTCTGGACTGAACCAATGTACAACTTACATATATTAATTGATGTCTCATGTCTTCTAAAATGTATAAAACCAAGCTGTGTCCTGACCACCTAGGGCACATGTCATCAGGACCTCCTCAGGCTATATCATAGGCATGTCTCTTTAACCTTGGATAAACTTTCTAAATTCAGACCTGTCTTAGATGTATGGGGTTCACAGTAGCTACCTGCAAACCAGCAAGAGGGCCCTCACTAGACAGTGAATCTGCTGGCTCTTTGATCTTGGCTTCCCAGTTTTCAAAACAGCAAGCTATATGGTTGTTTATGCTTCCTAGTCTATTACAATTTGCTATTGCAGCCCAGATTAAGACACAGCTATTCTAGGTAAATCCAGCAATTTTCTCTGCATTGAACACACTGGCCTTTGTCCTGCCCATATTTTTTGGTAATGGATAGAAGCAGCCTACCATTCGAATAGAGTCCAAGCCAGCAAATCCCATCAGGCATGGCCTCTTAGTTAGCGGAGAATACATAGGTCTACCTCTCTTCTTGGGCTGCCTTCACCTTCTTACTTGGCCACTCCTTGAAGAATAAATACAAATACTACATCCTTGTCTTCATTTAGTACTTCCTTCCTCCAGTGTCTCAGTGGTTGTTTATAGGTGGATGATATGGAGAAATGTAGAGCATATAATAATATTACTAAGTAGATTTACAACTACATCAAGGAAGGGATAAATATTTGGTATAACTTAAACTAAATTGGGCTACAAAATTTTCTCTTTGATCTTTTGCTGCTAGGGATTTTTTAATTCAATGACATGGATGAATACATAGAAGAATGTTAAACGTATAGTGATACAAAACTGGCAGGCATAGCTAATATCAGAGAAAGCAAGATTAAAAATTCAAAATGATTCTGACATTTGGGATAAATATAAAATCCTACAGCAAGTTTCTGATAGTCAATAATTGCAAGGATCAGTAGAGCAAAAGGCATAGAACTCGAGCCTGAGAGGCTCAAGAGCTCTGGTCTTTCCCAGGGCTGCCTCAAAGAAGGGAAAGGGCAGAGCTGAATACACATGCTATGCATGAGAAAGTGACAGTGGTGAGAGGACGAGCCAAGAGAATTCTGTGAATAGAAGGTCATGGATGACTTGTGCATTTTACTTATTTATTCACTTGTTTAAGGGAGGGACAGGGGATAGATGCAATCCATCAAGGATCTCTATGGTCTAAAATTTTATAGTTCCGCTATATCTTTCGTTAAACTAAACTGATTTTGGTGCTAACTTGAGGTCTCTCTGGTAAAACAATAGAAGTCAGCAAACTCCTGCTACACACCAATCATGTGCCAAGCCCCTCAGAGGGATGAGAGAAATATAAAGATGAAGTTCTTAGCTTTTCAAGGATATGATGATGTGACCATATTATCAGTGTTATAACACAATTGGTTATACCTTAACAGATGGATAGATGAGTGGCTGAGAAAGATGGAAGGAAGGATGGACAGACACCACAATGACATCAAGAAGTGAATATTAACTCTGAGAGAGAAGTATGTGGCAGCAGTGACATTTGAGCTGGCTGTCATGGTGTAATAGAAATGTATGGCCTTCGGAATTTTAAGACCTGGATGCAGTACTAGATTGACCATTAACTACTTGTGCAGCTTTAGGCATTGTACAAAAATGAGTACTGAACTGGCTTTGGGAAGACTGGTTTAACTTTCTGCCTAACGTGTGGCTTTTAGCCTTTCCCTTGTTCTAACAGTCATTTTGAGTCTTAAACCTAGACAGAAGAGTAAAGAAAACTTTTATAATTAATTTTGTTGGCCTGTTCATGCTATAATAATATCCACATTAAAACCCTAATGTATGATGTTGTAAGTCCAAAATAAAGATAACTTACTTAAGGATTTAAAAATAGATTAATCCACTTAATCTAAAAAAAAATAGGATTTTAGCCCAACAAAAGAAGTTTGCCTAATCATTATGGATGGGCTATGGTGGGATTAAGTTGTATGGGGTTTTGTGATATATTTGATGCTGTACTTTTCATTATTTGAGGATGGGAGCATGTAATGTGTTTTCTATCACCAGAATATTCTAGTACAGAACACTAGTTGTCGAATTATAAAGAAGAACCCAGAAGTGGATGGACATTGGCTTAGATGAACACTAAAGCTCCTGAAATTGCTCGGAAGTCTTCACAGCATAATGTGATGGCTCCCTCCTGTGCTCACCTGCCAGGAACTGTGCCCTTCTGGCATGAGGTGTGACTATCCCAATCCCTCTAAACCAAGATGTGAGGCCCTAAGGGAAAGGATCCTTCAAATCTGTAACCCCAGTTTAGCACAGGCACATAATAATAAAATATTGGTTGAATAAGTGGGTGAGAGTCTATAGTTTGTGATATGATATGAAACTGTTTGGGACATATTATTACATTGGTTAAAACTAAACTATTGGTTTCATATAAATGTGTTCTGAGTGGTGTTCTCCAATATACAAGATAGTAATAAGTGCTCTGGGAAAGAAGAGGGAGTGTGGGGACATGAGACAGAGAGATAAGTATCTGGGGCCAGGAGAAGTTTGTGAAATCTTGGGTTAAACTCAATTTGACAGATTTTGTTACTGGAAGATTCTCAGGGCCTACTGGTATTGTGGAATTCCCAGAAATGCATTTTGGCATACAGTCATTTAAACTCATTTGAACACAGAGCTTCCCCCACTTTCTACCCATGGCGCACTAAATTATCAATATAAAGAATATTCATGAAACTGAATTTGGGAAATGCAGACAGTTTCTGAACTGGAAAGAAGAAGGGAGGGAGAGAAAAAGTATGACTGTTTATTTGTCTTGGGGGTGTTAGAAGCAACCTGTTTACAGGCATCAAATTTAATAAAAGCCTTTTGTATTGCTACAATCTTTATTTCTATCAGGATAAATATACTATCTGTTCTTGATCATTGAACCATTGACCTCAATTGTGGTTACAAAATAGGAACATTTTGCTTGGACCATTTTGAGGAACTCAGAGACAAATGCCATCTCATAGTTCAGGCATAGGGACCCCCACATCAGGTTCTTTGCTACACTATTCACTATTATGCATATGTCATAGCAAGCTAAGAAAGGAGAATGAAAGAATGTGGCAAACAATAATAGCAGCAACAACATACTTTACAATGAGCACCACCCCTGGAATTTCTGCGATTACGGAGATCCCTTTTGGATCTCTGGGTTGCTTTGGAGCAATTCTGGTGAAGCCGTCAGCAGTGGCTGTCTGCTTACCCCCTGAACCCTCGAAAAATATGGCTTGGAGCTCCTCAACTCCTCACAAGATAGTTCTTCTTCAATGCAGTCAGGCTCAGCATCACTATCACCATCTATATCTCTAAAAGACTTACGTATATTTCTTCAAGGCTTATCTGGGTGTAGTTTTATGTGATCACACCATTCTATGAACGTGTAAGCAAACACCTACCTAATATTTTAAAAATTAAACTCTTGAGTTTCTATCAATTATTATGTAAAACACATATATCCTGTTTTAAAGCTTATAAGCTATATGCAGAAAGTTTCAAAAGAGAGGATGCAGTTCAAACAGTTGGGTTAAAGGATAATAATACAAGAGTTGCTGCTGTTGTTGTTTTTTAAGGAAGCACAGGGAGGAGCAGGAGCGGAAACTAAGAGGAGCAGCAGCAAATGTGTATGGCCAGAGAAATGGGTTAGCAATGGAACACTGGACTTGGCTCCACCACTGCTGTAAGGTCATCTCAAGTTCTTTTATCTTTGGACAACTTTCTCAAAGGAGACAAGATGAAATTCCCAAGACACTAGGATGCTTTGTGAAGTTATAAGGAGTTATTATTTTACCTCTCCTAGCTCGTGAAGTTCAGACCCTTTAATCATTCACATAGATGCACTATTGGGGAAAATTGTTTTGCTTTGCAAAGGCACATCTAAATATTTGCAAATGTAGCAATGATAAGCACATTCCATATTGTATTGCCACTACTCAGTTGCATGTTGTTTTCTTGCCCCTAAACTGCAAGCTCCTCAGGAACTCATCTTTGAATCCCAGGCAGCAAGAATGAAACCTGGTGTTTGATAAACACATTTGGAGTAAGATGCATTTCTTAAATAAGATCCCTAAAGCAAAGGCCAAAGCAAAAAAATGGAAATAATTACATCAAACTTCAAGGCATTCTGTTCAGTAAACTAACTCTTCAATAAAGTTAACAAAAGGGTTAACTCTTGCAGAGTGGGAGAAATTATTTGCAATCTTCGAAACACAGATGTAGTTAACATCATATATATAAAACAAACTCCTGTAAATCCAGAAGGGAAAGACAGGAAATCAAATATTTACATGGGCAAAGTTATGAATAAGCAATTTCTAGAGGGAACAATCCAATAGTGTCCTGGAGCTGTGTTGTGCCATCTTATGAGAGCCTATTATGAAATTTCATGAGCTAGTTGCTAAAGGGTAGCTTGAAATTGGTCATGCTGCAGTATTTATACCATGGAAATTGACAAACTGCACAACAAATCAAACTCCCTTCTCTTTCATCATCCCCTATAGCCAGGAGTTAAACATTTACCAGCCAAATGCTAGAGAAATCCAAATGACTAACTTTCATATACATGAGCTCACTAATGGAGAAATGCAAATCAAAACAATAGTGACATGCTATTTTTATGTCTAATCAAATTAGCAAAAATTTGAAGGTTAGATAATAAGTGTTGATGAGAATATAGGCAAATGGAAACACCATGCACAGCCAAGAGATTTTAAGTTGGCACAGACATTTTGGAGTACAACCTGGCACTGCCTGGAGAAGGGGAGTGTGCATATGCCCTATAACCCAGTAGTCACACTCGTTGGTATACATCCCACAGGTTTGTGCAAGGAAAGACATAAGGTTGTCAATACAGTGTCATTTTTGGTTAAAAAGTTGGAGGGAACAGGAAAATAAGTAAAATGAGGTACTGCCTATGATGGAATATTACATAATTGTTAAAAAATAATGTATTGGATTTTCATAAACACATAAGTGGCTCTTATATGTCTAATACTTTTCTAAGCCTCAGTTCTTTACACACATTCATTCAGTCCTTATATTTTTACAAAGTGGATATTAGCAACTATTGGATTGGAGAGTTTAAGTTATTAGCATAAGGTCACACAGCATGGAAGAGCCAGCATTCACCCTATGTAGTATAATCTAGATCAGGGATTCACAACCCCCCTGGTCTGTGGCCTGATAGGAACTGGGCAGGAGGTGAGTGGCAGGCAAGTGAGCAAAGCTTCTTCTGTATTTACAGCTGCTCCCCATTGCTCACACTACCACCTGAGCTCTGCCTCCTGTCAAATCAGCGGTGACATGAGATTCTCATAGGAGCATGAACCCTATTGTGAACTGCACAAGTGTGAGATCTAGGTTTCATGTTCCTTATGAGAATCTAATGCCTGATAATCTGTCACTGTTTCCTATCACCCCTAGATGGACTGTCTAGTTGCAGGAAAACAAGCTAAGAGCTCCCACTGATTCTACGTATGGTGAGTTGTATAATTATTTCATTATATGTTATATTTTAATAATAATAGAAATAAAATATACAATAAATGTAATGTGCTTGAATCATCCTAAAACCATCCCTATCCCCTGGTCCATGGAAAAACTGTCTTCCACAAAATTGGTCTCTGGTGCCAAAAATGTTGGGGACTGCTGGTCTAGATTTTCTACTCTTAATCATTATGTTCTACTGACTAAAAAGCTTAAAAACAAAGCTTAAAACCATTAAGTGAAAAACAGAAAAGAAGCAGAGAAAGACCCGTAGTACAATGATTTTTATCTAAGTTAAAAACATGTACTAAAAACACTACATACTTTTCAGGGTATATACATATTTAAGGGCATATAATAAATACATTAGAGTCAGGATAGGGAATGGTGAGGACAAATCATCAAATGACTGAACCACATACTGGGCAGTATAATTAATTCAATTTGGTAGACGCAAAGACCAAATAGAGCCCATGAATGAATATTTAGCATCCTATAGACTTAGAAGGTTTTACGTTGAATAAAAGGTGGCATTTGATAATAGACCCAAAATACTGCCTTTCTCAATTTATGGTTGTAATAAATCTGACTTGTTGAAAAAGAAACAGAATGAGTAGAAAATAAGAATCATGCTGCATGCTAATGCATTTTTTTTTTTATTTTTGGAGACAAAGTCTCACTCAGTCAACCAGGCTGGAGTCCAGGGGCATGATCTTGGCTCACTGCAGCCTCCTGGGTTCAAGCAATTCTCGTGCCTCAGCCTCCCAAGTAGCTGTAATTACAGGTGTACGCCATCACACCCAGCTCATTTTGTATTTTTAGTAGAGATGGGGTTTCACCATGTTGGCCAGGTTGGTCTTGAACTCCTAACCTCAAATGATCCGCCTGCCTCGGCCTCCCAAAGTGCTGGGATTACAGGCATGAACCACCATGCCTGGCCACTAATGCATTCTTCGTCTTTTATCAAATTAAAAAAAAAAGACACCTGATTGCTGTTGACTCTTGTACAAAAGTCCACAACCATGAAATGCTGTGGAACCCTCCACTGTAATTCATCACAGCTATCAGTGTAATAATTTTGCTCTAAAAAATGAGGAATATTTTCATGAACCTACTGTTTCATAGTTTTCAAAGGAGATCAGAGATATAATAAAGTTCTATTTAAATATTAAAATCACACTTATCTCAAATCTTTTTAAAAGAGTTTTGGTTATAATAAGAATTATTTTCTCATCATGAGTTTTTAAATTAGGGACTTAGGTAATGAAAAATGATTTTATGACTCCACATTAGAATGAAAAATGATTTTATGACTCCATATTAGAATGAAAACATAAAACGAACATCGAGTTTTCATCATGCCACATGGAACAAATCAATTAAAAAAAAAACTTAGGAAACATGGTAAGCATTTCCTACATTTGCTTTCAAACAGTTTTAAACAGAAGTACTTATGGTACCGTTTTAATTTCCTTGCCAGAAAGGAACATGATTCTTCTTTCTCCATGAGCATGGCCAAGTTACTTCGGAATTAGGCAAATAAGATGAAAAGGAAAAACATTCTCTCAGGTCAAGCAGTTTGTTTTTCTAATTAAAACAGGTAAATCTCAATGTTGCAAAGAGACTCAGATGTTCTCATTTTCCTTTAAAAATTAATGGATAAGGATTTTTCTTATTTCCCTTTGAAATTACTCAATAGGTTGCCACTAAGATAATGTCTTTCCCAAACACATTTAAGGATCCTGCATAAATGAACAGATTGGGACTTCGGTCAAACTCCTTGTGGCTGTCAGATCACAAGTGTTCAGACCTGCACCTGCTTCCCTCTGGCTGCATCTAAATGAAGCCAATTATACTAGAGAAAGTAATCAGGTGAACACCTAGTTCATCTAGCTTGACAGGTGTTTCACATTGTGGGAGTAACACTGTGCATTTATGGAAATGTTCTATACCTGTGCAATCAATGTGGCAGGCACTAGCTATAGGTGGCTCTTGAGCACTTGAAATGTGGCTAGTGCAGCTGATGGATGGAATTTTTTTATTTCACTTTTAAATTTAAGTGGCCATACATAGCTACTGGCTCCATATTGGATGGCATATGATGGCATTGCATTAGCAGGGTGATACCATGAACGAAGTGTAAGTTTAAACCTTTTCTATAGAATATTGTAATATATAAATATGTAAATTGGAAAACATATCATCAGGATTTTTTATTCACTAAAGGTTAATTATTACTAATACTTGGTGTATATTTATCCTTCCAGACTTTTTCCTCCTCAGGCATATAAACACACTCAATCATAGGTAGATTTAAAAATATGTAAAATTAGAATCACAATATACATGCTGTTCTACAGCTTGCTTTTCTCTCAACAATACATTGTGACCAACCATCCTTCTATATCAGTACAGAGACATATTTACAGCTACATGAGCCAGTACGTTCTCTTCTCATTTCTGTCATTTCCAACCAAAAAGTCTTGATGAACATGAGAGACCAGAGTCACCTTTAGGGTTATGATGCTGCTTGTATCAAGGGCCCTATCTCAGGA
Source organism: Homo sapiens (assembly GCF_000001405.40). Taxonomy (NCBI): domain Eukaryota; kingdom Metazoa; phylum Chordata; class Mammalia; order Primates; family Hominidae; genus Homo; species Homo sapiens. Next base: position 101,251,650 of record NC_000009.12, on the reverse strand, counting down.
TGAAGATGGAGAAGTAACAGGTGAAACTCAAAAAAGGAGACCTTTGGATGCCAGGTAGAGGAAGTTAAATTTCTTTATATAGTCCGAAGCATTTTGAGCAAGGCAGTGGCATGGTCAAATCTGTCATTGAAGAGATTGACCCTGGTGGTAATCTATACGAGACTGGAGCAGAAGATGGCAGGCAGAAAAATCAGATTTGGTACAATGGTTTGCTTACACATCAGTTACTAAGTACTCAGAATACTTCTAACACTGCTGTGCTATTGCATTTCCAGAGCAATCTCACAACATTCTATCTAGCTTACTCTCTCATAATAAAGCAAAAGTGAAATACCCTGCTTTACAACAGTTTAAACTACTGTGAAAATAAAAAATGATTCATTCACTAAACTTTTGCTGAGCACCTACTATATGCCAGGCAGTAGAGAAACAACAGTGCACAAAAATGAAGTCTTGGTCCACATGGGAGAGGCTGTAAAAGGAACAAATTTGGGGGCTATCGGTTTAAAATTAAATAAGTTTAATTTTGAACATATTTTGATATGCCTATTAGACATCCAAGTGAGACATGAAGGAGGCAGCTGAATATGAATTGAAGAAAGTTCTTGGTTAGAGACACAATTTGGGGGGTCATCAGAGTATGTGATCAGCTAGTTAGTGAACCCATAGAATAAAGAGGAGTCCAGGAGATGAGACTGAAAAAGGTGATGACAAGAATAGACCTGCAGAGAAAGCAACAGTCAGCCATGGACAAGGATCAGAATCTCCAAAGAATAGGGGAGGTGCTGTGGTGTC